>NC_000013.11:73559621-73711136 GCF_000001405.40 Homo sapiens
TCATCAGCATACACTCTGATTGTGTTGAATTTTGTGATTATTGGATGTTCCCTTGATAGCCTTCTATCTTGTGTCTACCGGCTGTTGAGGGCTCATGTGTTGATCTCACATCATATCTGATGTTTGCTCCCATTGAGTAAAGAAGCCTGCTTCATGTTCTAACAAAAAAATGGAAAGATTTAACATCACATTGCCAGAATCTGAGGATCTCTAGCAATAGCATATGTCATTAATTTCAGCGTTTGATAATTTAAAAAATATGGAAAATTCCCACTCCCTACTTTTTTGCAGGATTCACAACTCTGCCAAGTTTGTAGCTCATCAGGATATTGACAAGCTAAATTTTGAGCTGTGAGGGAAAAAAAAATCTTCACATCTTTAGTTAGAAGCTTTATAAAGAGCAGAGCATTCAAATAAGCCAGTGTGGCGAGACGGGCAAAACACCAGATTCCATTTCCAGCTTTTCCAGGAACAAGCGGTATGATCAGGGGCAAATTCCTCAACCTTTTTGGGACTCAGTTTCCTCATTTGTTAATCAAAAGCCTTGGCTGATGACTAAAATTATTCCCAGCACTAAAACGAAACACAACAAACAAAAACTTTCACAATCTTATTTCAAATTCCTACCCAAATTGGTGACTATAGAATATTTCCTTCATGGGGAGGGGAAATAAAAATAGGCATTTACATTGTTCAAAATTAAGTGATTTTTCTTTAGAGCCATTAGCCCTTCATTTCCTACAAATCAAGTTATGACCATTTTAAAGTAGTTACTGAAAAATTACAGGAACTTTTTTTCTTCTTACCAACTGACGCTACAGGTAACACAATTTCACTAATGCTGACCGTATGAAGTACAGCCTGGGAGAAAGTCTTCAGTTTGCTTAAAAAGGAAAAACATCTTTCCATTGGAGTAAGAAATATTCTAGAGCATTTACTACTCTGAAGTTAGTGTACAGAGATGAATGTTTTAAAAAGTGTAACCAGCTAGTGGCTGACTCTGATGAACAAGGAGTCAAGACCAGCATGAGAGAGGAAGGAGAGAGAGTTTGTGTCGAAGGTGATCTAAAGCAGTGATTTCTCTATGGAGGGCCTTATCATGTCACTCCCACATTCTAGATCCTCAACACCTCCCAGAAAAATGCAGGATTCTTCTATTTCCTTCAGATATATAACAGATGTATAATGTTTAGACTATAACCAAACAGAAACCATAGTCAGCATGTCAGCCTCAACCAAATGGGAAATTATGACATGATCTGGGTGACTGTATTTTCTGATTAAAACACAAATAATAAGTTGATAATGGAAATATATCTGGGAAAAAACCCGTATTTGGAAATTGGCACATAAAACGTATATATATATATATATATATATATATATATATATACACACACACATATATATGTATACACACATACACACACACATATGTGTGTGTCTATTATACAAACATATAATTATAAATTAGAAAATACTCAGAACTGAAATATTTGAAAATATGATATCAAGTATATGATATAAAAAATATATCAAAACATAATACCACATATGAACATTTGTGGGTAGCAAAGCAGTAATGTAAGTTTTCACTTTAAATGTTATTTTAGAATAGAAATTGATGAATTACATGGACAACATAAGAAAGCAGAAAAAATACAGCTGAAAAAAAAGAAAAAAAGAGAAGAGACAAAAGGCCTAAAATTACAGAGAAAATATTTAATGCCTTAGAGAGAAACACAAAATCAATAGCTTATTCTTTGAAAAGCTAATAAAATAGACAAATCTTTGGTAAGATTTCTCAAGGGAAAGAAACAACAATATTAGAAATAAAATGGGAGGGCATATCTGCAGATGTAGCCTAAATAGAAAGCAATAAGAAAATACTATCAATAATTTTGTGCTAATAAATCTGCATACTTGAGGGAATGTATAATTTTCTAGAAAAAAATAACTTATCAAAACTGACTCTTGAATATAATACACCTGAATAGTAACCTCTTAACACACATTTATATACATATAAATCCCAAGCACTGCTCAGACTATTTCACAAATTCTACCAAACATTCACGAATCAGATCATTCCTGTCATCTCCAACTGCTCTGGGAACACTAAAAGAGAGAAAGCTCCCTAATCCTTTGTTATATATTCATGTAAAGCTTGATCCCTAAATCAGAAAAGTATAACATGAGACAGGAAAATTATACATCCATCTCCTTTGTCCTCATAAATATAAACTTCCTTTTAGACAGAGTAAGCAAAACCTAACAATGCATTTATTTAAATACATTTACCACATTAAGGATTAAAAGAAGAAAAATCATATGATTACTCGAATGGATTCAGAAAAAAACGGGTAAAATTCAGCAACTTCTGATTTGATAAATACTCTTAGCAAACTAGGAATAAGAGTGATTTCCTTATCTTCATAATGAGTGTCTTTCAGAAAACCTATAACGAGCTACACATTACAAGAGAAATTTAAAGCAATCCCTTAAAATATGAAAATACAAGGGAAGAAGATGTCCACTACCCTGACTTAAACTGGAGTCTCACTCAGTACAAGACAAAAATAAAATAGAAAAATAAAAAGAGGAAAATCTGTCATTATTATTGATGATGATTATAAACATAGAGAATGCAAGAGAATCTGCAGAAAACTAGAAAAAATAAGGGCCCTCAGAGAGGTTGTGTGATAACTGATAATTATTCAAAAAGCAATAATTTGCCTCTACACTATCCAAAAAGAGAAAATGTAATTTTAAAAATGTAATATTAACTACAGCAAAAAATATAACATACTTGAGAATAAATCTAACAGTGCGCAAGAACTTTTTAGAAAGAAATATTAAAATATTGACAGATATTAAAGAGGCTCTGACTACATGGAAAGACATTACTGTATCCAGAGGTAAGAGGAATCAATAATAAAATGATGTCAATTCTCTCATAATGCAGGCACAACATTATGCAAAGCATGACCCGTGATATGATTCATTACATTACAGTGCACCAAACACTTAGACATTGTTCTATTTTATATTTAAAATAATATAAATAATAGCCAAGTTAAGTTGTGTTTGTTTTTAGTTACCAAAAAATTGAGGGCCTTTTTTTCCTCACTAATTGATGCTGCTAGTGACATCATTTCACAAACATTGACAATATGATGTATAGCCTGAAGATAATATGCAATATTTTTAGGAAGTTTTCATTGGGGGATTTTTTTTTTGAGGCAGGGAAGAGTATTATTGTTCAAATAGCATTATAAAGCATTCTTTCCTTTCACTCATTCTCCTACTCTAATCTGTTTGTTGAGTGCTCACTGTGCCTCTGCTCTCAGTGAGGCAGAAAAAACACGTTTTATTTTGCTATGTTGCATAGTCACTAAAGTTTATTCACTAAAATGAATAAAGTGAATAAAGCTTATTCACTAAAGTCACTAAAGATTATTCACTCCTCTACATGAGGCTGGATTTCTACCTGGTAAGGAGCAGAAGAGGTGCTAGCCAAGCATGGTCCATCTTAGCCTCAACTCCATTAGTCTAGAGAACCCTGACCCATTCCCGAAGCTTCACAAAGAAAGCCATGGCTCAAGGCTAAGATGACAACAAGGCATAGGCAGGTTTCCTTGACTGCTGGAATCGAGCTTTTCTGCTTGGCACATAGACATAGCTGAGAAGCAGTACTCTTGCACAGAATTGGAACTTGTCTCCTTGTTAGATAGGCCCATAACTAGTGCTGTTAATTGGCTGTGGCAACAACAGACTTGGGATCTTAGAATCCAACACTAGAGAGTGTTGTGAGCATTTTACTCTGTCTCATTGAAGCCTCTGTCTTCTACTTCTAAACATTTTTTGTCCTTTTCTTCCTCCGTTAACTTCCCTTTTCCCCTCATTCTCATCTGTGTAGTCTCTTTCCTGTCATTTTCACTCTATTTTATTATTTTCTTTTTTTCTCACTTCTCTCTCCTTCTTATCCTTATGTACTCTTTTTCTCTACTTCCTCGCCCACCCCATATACCCCAGTTTCTGGGTGTATTCCCCTGCCTCCACCAATTTCCCTAGGTTCTCCCTCTCTCTGACTCTATTCCATAGTCTTCTAATATTCATTCTTCTAAAACTTTTCTATTGATCATCTCATGGCAACATGTAGGCCATCACTCTAACAAAAAGAAATAGCAACATTCCCAGTGTGGCAGATGCATGTTAATAGAACAGAAACATTATCCAGATGAAGAGTCTGTGCCCCATTTACCTCCAAGCCTCCTCTTCTCTTGGCAAATGTGTTTCTTTATTTTCTTTTTTTGTGTAGGCAGAAAACATTTTGGATAATACCCCAGAGATTATTTATCATGAATTAGCCCAATTCAGTTTTTACTGCTGTGTTTTTTATTGTCTTATAGTTAAATATTGGCTTAGCCATGAATCCAGAAACTCTCACTGGAGCTCTATATCCAAGTTACTTTATCAATAAGACTATTACACAAATAACTGAATATTCATATGTGCTTATGAAAATCAGAATTACTTACGTGAGCCTCAAGAAATTTAAAAAATGATTAATCTATTGATTTCAGAGGGAAACAACGTCCAGGCTGATCAATTTGGAGAATCATTTTCATCTTTGTGTCCTTAGTACCTACCATGGTTCTTCGCACCTAATGGAATTTCAGTAAGTGCTTGTTAGAGTGAATATTGGTTTTCATCCAATGTATCCTCCTGGGATCCCTAAATACATAACCAAAGGGGTTTCATATGACTACATATTTTACACTTCTATAACAAGAAACAAAATTTGCATGTAAAAGATTAACATGACTGAATTATTTCTTGGTATTTGCAAGGCACTTGACAGTTTTTATGAACTGGCTATTCATCTTGAAAGCTCTACGGAAAAGGGATCTTTAGAAATTTACCGATGCAAAACCCAAGGAAGAAAAATGTGCATCGATCCTAACAAGGAACAGTTTTCCCCGGAGTTTAAAACAGATATGGGAGTTTAAAACGTAGGGAAAATCATCCATTGCGACATAGAATACAAACCTAGCTTTTCTAAGAAAGAGTATGAACAAATGGTATGAGGAGGAAAAAAAAAAAACGTACTGAAGTAAACTCAAGTGACCTCAAGAGGTCTTTGGGTTTCACAGTTCACTTGGCCACCCAGCTTTCTCCCAGTTTTCCTCTAGAAACCCAAAGACTTAGCAACTTAATAGCGAAGCCCAGTGCCAGATTACCCGGTGGACACTGTTAACCCATGTTGGCAGCACCGGCAAATCAGAAACACAAAAATTATTTGTTAAAAAGTGATATTTCAAAAAGAATTTTAAAATAGGCACCCCAGAAATCAAAATCCTCTTAGTCACCTTTTTCTCTTATAGTTTAGAAATTTTTTTAAATTCTGAATTATAGATAGCAGGGTTTGAGGAAGCCTCACTAGGTGATGATATAGGGTCTCTAAAAGACCAACCCAGGCAGGATTTAGTTATAAAGTTTGGCAATTTGCTTGATTCTTGGCTAAAGTTTTTACACCTTTTGAGTAATCATACACATAGGCAAAAATAATAACTCTATAAAGAGAGCAATCAAAACAGCCATAAGTATTCATCTAACCCATATTGAATACCACACATAATCATTACAGCACAGTTAAAAGTATTTCGTGCTCATAATGATGCTCAGGACTATTTCTGACCCTTAGCTCTCTCCTCCCCACCCTGCCACTATCAAGCTAAGACTGGAGGTTTGTTAGCTAATGCTTATCTGAGTTTCTCACTGGACCAAGATGGTAAGGAGGAAGGGAGCAGCACAGAGTCAGGAAGAACAGTGGACTTAGGTGTGAGACAGATCTCACTTTAAGTCCTGGCTCTCTTATTAGCTGTGTAATCCTAGGGAAGTTTCTTAAAGCCCCTGATCTTAAAATAGAGACAGTAATACCAACCTCATAGAATTGGTGGGAAGATTAAAGAGATAAAATATGTGAAGACCTAGAAAATATGGGAAAGCTGCCTCAGTACAATAAGTAGGTATTCAATCAATGGTAGCTGCTGCCACACAGTCATTACAGCTCAGTTTCCTAGATCAGAAATTATTCATTTATTCATTTAATACCTATTGTGCACATATCATTAGCCAAGTACTCTGTTAGGTGCTGAAATGGGTTATAGATTTTTCCTGATGTGGGGGAAAAGGTGATATGGAAACTGGAATTGAGAAAAAGATATGTAATGTAATAGGAAGTTGCTCTGAGTTCCTTGACAGAGAAGGCTAGATATTCCTGCTTCTCTAGTCTTAGCTTGATAGTGGCAGGGTGAGGAGGAGAGAGCTAAGGGTCAGAAATGGTCATGAGCATATGAAAAAGATCAAAGGGTCTGTAAAGTTGATGAACCTATGACAAGGCAGAGTTAAAAGAGGTATTTCTATTTCATGCACAGTTTCTCTATTTTGAACTTCTCTCACAAGGAGTTTGCTCTATTCATTTACATGCTAAAACCTGGCCTTTACTAAGGTTGTTTGGACCTCATCTCCAAACAAAATGTGTTGGGGAGAGAAATCAAAGTAGTTCTCGCCTCTCCCTACAGCAGAGGAGAGTCTGCAAGTTTTATTTTTTCCCTCCTCTGTCCCTATTATGAGATAATTCTACTCAAAAGAGAACAGTCCAGTTGAAATCAAGAAGTATATGCCTACCTGTAATATAGCCAGAAATATGACCCATTGAAGTTTTTTTTAACATTTGTAATCAAATGCCACAAGAAACTATAGACTGTGCCAGCTATTACAACCTTACTGTGAATGTGTTTATTTCTCTACTGTCTCCATAATTCTTAGCCAATATTTGAGGGAATGAAAGTTTTTCCAGAGATGATAGGCTTTAATTCTCCCATGAGAAACCTGAAAGCTCTAGTTATCTCAGTGTGGAAGGTGGAATAATGGCCCTCAAATATATCCACATCCTTATCCTTGGAAACTGTGAATATGTTAGCTTACATGATAAGAGTGATTTTGCAATGTGATTAAATTAAAGATCTTGAAGTGATGAGATGATCCTGGATTATGCAGGAGGGCTCAGTCTAATCACTTGAGTCTTAAAAACTGAAGAACTTTTCTTAGCTGTGATAAAAGGAAGAGATTCGACTATGGAAGGAGGGTCAAGGAGATACTAGACTGCTGGCCTTGAACATGGAGGAAGGGAGCCATGAGCCAAGGAACAGGTGGAGCCTCTAAAAGCTGGAAAAGGTGAAGAAACAGATTCTCCCCTAGAGCCTCCAGAATGGCTGCAGCTATGTCAACACCTTGATTCTACCCCAGTAAGACCTGCATTGGAATTCTGGAACTGTGAAGTAATACATTTGTGTTATTTTAAGCCAATAAATTTATGGTAAATTGTTAGAGTAGCAATAGAAAACTAAGTCACAGCAGGGCAAGAAAGTGAGAACTTTAGGTAAGGAGGGAGGAAAGAAATTCAAGGCAGACCAGTGGGAAGGTGAGAGGAGACAACCTCCGTCCCTCGTCCAGAGACTGTACAGTAAAACACCATGCTGCTGCTATGGACAAAATTAGAAGCCGGGTATTAAAATATAATAAGTCATGGTCACATGCTTGCTTACTTTGAAAAAACTTGATATTGCATTCCAGGGCATTTCTTCGCTAAAGATCTCTCTTCTTAATGTATATCACTATTTCTGTTTTATTACTTTCCTAGAACTTCTCATGAGGTATCACCATTTTAATTCTCTTCTGGATTATTTTTAATACGTTCTTTTATATTAGAATATAAGCTCCCTTATTCTGCATTAGACTGTAAGGTCCAAGACTCAAAGGACTATGTGTGTCCCTTCATCACTGTATTTCTAATACAGCAGAAGGAATGGGGCAGAAGACTGACTTCACATCTGTCTTCTGAGCCTGCTGTCTGGACACTCCAGGCGGCTACTGTCCTCTTAGCCCACGCAGACTACCATGGTAGTCTAAGGAAGATGGGTGTGGACAAAAAAGGAAGTTTGTCCTTAAGTAGTTCATGATCAAGAAATTGATTTAGTTACGGCAGCTAAATCATTTATTAAAGTTCATTTTGTTTTATTCTTTGGGCTAACCTTAGTTTTCAGATATGTGTACCACCAAGTGTTAACTTTTAATATGACTGTGGAACAATTTTGAGAATCAAAAAACCAAAGTAGTCACCATACAAGGGTAAGACTATATCTGGTTTTATTCAGTGAATCAACTTGATATACAAAGTTCTTGAAAATTTTAAGGAAATTGATCCTAAGGGGAACACGAAGGCCAGTAGATTGGACTAGCCAAAGGTCATACATAAAAAGACTGGGTGGAGTTGGAAAACAATCTAGGACTCATGATTTTTAGTTTAGAAGTTTTTTTTTTTTTTTTTTTTTTTTTTTTTGCCTTGATTTCCTTAAGCATCTTCTTTCCCAGCAGGCCCATTTGAAAGTGGGCGTGACCCAGATAAATCCTATTTTTTCCAACCCTCTCCATCGACTCCTCCAAAAAATATGTCTATATTCATGAAATCAGGTGAAAATATTTGTGCGCCTCAGTTCTTATAATCACCACTTAGTCAAGTGGAGAGGTGGGAAGAGGTCCTTCCTCATTTGCTGCCCATCCCAGCAACCTGGAGCACGTGCCAGAAGGCACCGCCCAGTGTTGCCCAAGAGGCCCATGTTTAGTCCTTTAAAAGATGCCCAAGAGTCAGACCCACCCACAGGAACTAGGTTTATTGCCCTTTCCTTCTTCATCTCTTCTCTCCATTTCCTCCCTGTCTTCTTACTGAAATCTCATGATAGCCCTTAGACTGTGGTTGTGGTCTCACCCCTAATTCAGCTCTTGGCCTTGCTCTGTTCTAATATCCAGAAACTGATTCTGGCCTTCCTGCATTACTTCCCCTCTTGCATCCTAGACAAGGCTTGATATTCATCTCTGGCTTCCCAGCCAAGGACGAGTTTGCTCCAAGTTTTAGTCTTATTAACTCAGCATGTGACAGGCTCTGTGTGCTAGGGACATCTCTCTGTTTTCTTATTTTTCTTTGTTTTTTCACCTCCAGTGATAATTAATGGATGGGGTACTCATAATAGAATTCTCCTCTTTTTTTTTTTTTCCTTTTAAAAATGTTTTCTTCTTAGAAACCGGAAATAGAATGGAGGTGACTGAGGGCTGCAGGGAGGGTGAAAAAGGGAGTTGTTGTTTAATGAGTATGGAGTCCAGATTTGTAAGATCTGGAGAACTACAGAACTATAGTTGACCCTTGAACAACATGGAGGTTAGGGATGCCAATTTCCCCTCCCAACTCCGTGCAGTCAAAAATCCACATATGACTCTCCCAAAACTTAACTACTCTCCAAAAACTTAACTACTAATAGCCTACTGTTGACTGGAAGCCATACTGATAAACTGTCAGTTAACACATATTTTGCATGCTGTATGTATTAGATACTGTATTCTTACAATAGAAAGTAGAGACAGAAAATATTATTAAGAAAATCATAAGAAAGAGAAAATATTTTTACTATTCATTAATTGGAAGTGGATCATCCTAAAGGTGTCATCCTCATCATCTTCATGTTGAGTAGGTGAAGTAGGAGGAGGAAGAGGAAGAGGAAGGGTTGGTCTTGTTGTCTCAAGAATGGCAGAGGCGGAAGAGGTGGAGGAGGTGAAAGGAGAGACAGGAGAGGTAAGCACACTTGGTGTAAACTTTTTTTTTTTTTTTTTTTTTTTGAGACAGAGTCTCACTCTGTCACCCGGGCTGGAGTGCAGTGGCACGATCTCGACTCACTGCAACCTCTGCCTCCTGGGTTCAAGTGATTCTCCTGCCTCAGCCTCCCAAGTAGCTGGGACTACAGGCACGTATCACCATGCCCAGCTAAGTTTTCTTGTATTTTTAGTAGAGACAGGTTTTCCCCGTGTTAGCCAGGATGGTCTCAATCTCCTGACCTTGTGATCTGCCTGCCTCAGCCTCCCAAAGTACTGGGATTACAGGGGTGAGCCACCGTGCTCAGCCCACTTGGTATAACTTTTATTGAAAAAAGCTCATGTATAAGTGGACCCACACAGTTCAAATCTGTGTTGTTCAAGGGTAAATTATATATTCACAACAATGTGAATATACTTAACACTACTGAACTGTACAGTTAGAAATAGTTGAATTTTATGTTGTGTGTATTTTTATCACAATTTTCTTTAAAAAGACATTTGTAAAGATGTTTTCTTCTGGAGCTCTGCTCTTTATGCTTTTGAGTGTTGAATTGGGCACCAAATTTAATTAAATGCACCTGGATTATTTCAGAAATAAAACCTACAAAATAGACCTATCTTTGGTATTTCTGAAATCATTATTTCTCACTTTACAAACTTGATCCCAAAAATATGGAAGTATACATTCCATGAATAATAGTTAAGCATCAACTAAACACTGCTAAACCCTGGCAGAAATTCAAAGATAAATTGCACACAAGCCTTACTTACAGAAGTTTATACTCTTAAAAAATAATAGCAACAATAGAGCTGCCATTTATTATGATTACTCTGTGCCAGGAACTAAACTATATGCTTTGTATACATTATTTTAAAAACTCTTTTAACAGCCAAATTAAGTAGGTAATTTTTCTCCAATTCTACAGTCTTTTAGTAGAGATGATATATACCTACTTGGAAAGCAAACACAGGACTAAGCTCTATTGAAAATGAGGCTAATGTATATTAATGTCTGTGTGCCAAGTAGAATGCTGAAAAATCTTACAGATGACATTTTATCTCCATTTTACAGATAAGAAAATTGAGGCTCAGCCAGGTTAAGAGAATTGCCAAAGGCCACTTAGCTAATAAGACACAGAGATGGAATATGAAACTGGCGTCTGGCTGATCCTCAAGGCTGCATGAATCTTTCTGCCCCACCATGCAGCCTTCCTGTACAGCGATAATACAAGTTAGAAAATGGTTAAGTGTGTTAGGAATTCTATATGAAATAAGGAGGAGATAAGAGAAGAAGCGATTTACCTCTAGCTGGAGTTGGTGAAGAAAGAAAAGTAATCTAAAAAAAGAAAAAATATAAGCAAAGAAGCAGAATGAGGAATGTAGAGTTTGTGTGTGGTAAACAAGCAGTCGAGCTGGTTGGAATCTTCCAGGCAAGAAGCAGAGCAATAGGAGATCAGACTGAAAAGCCACACAGGCTGGGCACGATGGCTCACGCCTGTAATCCCAGCACATTGGGAGGCCGAGGAGGGCAGATCACGAGGTCAAGAGATCGAGACCATCCTGGCCAACATGATGAAACCCATTCTCTACTAAAAATACAAAAATCAGCTGGTTGTGGTGGTGGGCGCCTGCAATCTCAGTTACTCGGGAGGCTGATGCAGGAGAATCGCTTGAACCTGGGAGGCGGAGGTTGCAGTGAGCTGAGATCATGCCACTGCACTCCAGCCTGGGCGACAAAGGGAGACTCCATCTCAAAAAAAAAAAAAAAAAGCCACACAAAATCCTGGGCCTGTGGGACCCTGATGTTAGTCTAAGGGGTCTGGACTTCAATACCTACATGGTGGAGAACCATTAAGATTTTGCATGCAGAGAAATTACAAGACTGACTAAACCCTGTGCTTTAGGTATATTCATCTACCAAAAGTGTCTAAAATGAACTGGGGAGGGTTTAAGAGAATGTGGAAAAAAAATAATGAACTGGAGAGGGGTTAAGAGAATGTGGAAAAAAGAATAGCTAAACTCATTCTCTCTCCTTAATTTTATCTTGTTTTAGGTTAACATTGGCCTTACATTGAAAACATGTCCTCAACAAAATCGAGGATTGAATAGCTCATTTGCCTGAAGCCATTTGTTTTTACATAAATAAATATAATTTTTTTAAACCTTTCCTCCCAAAAGTCTGTAGGTTTAAAACACAATTTGAAATTCCTTTTCCAGAGAGCAATCCAATTTGGCTTTTGTTGTTTCTAGTCACATATTATATGATTTTATTTTTTATTGAAAGCCTTTAGAATGGCTCACAGATGTTGCAGCTAAAATAGATCCTCCTGGAACTATTTGGTTTGAGAAAATCTCTGTTGCCATGGATTAAATTAACAGGAGATCTCTTGTTTAAAATTTAAGGATATTTTCATATGTAGGAAATAATATTCCCTTAAATTTATATAAGGCAGTCATGGGGGCAAGTTACATTTGGAAGGCTAATCAGGAGTCTACATCATTGCACTTAAAGTTGAGCTATGTCTGTGTTCATATTAGAGACCATCTCCCCCAAGAGAAAAGAGATCAACCAGGCTAATTTTTTTTTTAATAGAGTCTTGCTCTGTCGCCCAGGCTGGAGTGCAGTGGCATGATCTCGGCTCACTGCACCCTCCACCTCCCGGGTTCAAGCAATTCTCCTGCCTCAGCCTCCCGAGTAGCTGGGATTACAGGCACCTGCCACCACGCCCGCTAATTTTTGTATTTTTAGTAGAGACGGGGTTTCGTCGTGTTGGTCAGGCTGGTCTCGAACTCCTGACCTCAGGTTATCCACATGCCTCGGCCTCCCAAAGTGCTGGGATTACAGGTGTAAGCCACTGCGCCTGGCCTAATATTTTAATAAATTAAGAAATTTGTGTTCCTACTTGGTCAATTATACTGGAGAAATACAGTTATTAAAAACATCTATGGCTTAAATTATACATGTGGATATGCTGAAACTTAACAGACAATTCACCATTAGAAATAACTGAACAAAATGTTATCAATTTTAAATATCAGTTAAACATCAGCCAAGCCCTGCCCAAACTGACTTTGGAAGTAGGCAACACCCAAAATGAACTCCTTGGTCTTCCCTTTCTCTCTTCCCCTTAGTGAGCTTGCAACTAAGCTCGAGTCTTCATTGTCACCCACCTATGAGGGACTTACACATCTACCTCTCCAATTCTGGTGCATTCTTAAGACCTAAATCGACAATATTCTATTATGAATCTTCCCATGAGGCACTTGACACTCAAGATATCCAAACCAAATTTACTATTTTATCCACAACACTGTTGCTCCATATCTTGTGCCCAAAGCAGGATCTCCACATCAACAGTTTCTGGATTGTATTCCAGAACGCTATACCCCAAAAGATTAAATTATAAAAGAGATTTATGGTCAAATAAGTCTGGGAAATTCTACATATTATATAACACTTGTTTGGAGGTTTTCAATGAAAATTAAACTTCTAAAAGCTCTTAGATCTCCAGCAGTAGAAAGCATGTTTATTTTGTTTATCCCAGTATTTTATTTGATGTTTATCCCCTTTCTTGCATCACATCCATTAACATTCTGAAAAACTAGTGTTTGCGAAAGATACTTTTAGACAGCCACTGTAGATCATTTTCACTCCTTCTATCCCCTAGCCACTACTAAAATTCATCTCCTTGTGTAATTGGACATAAGAGCATGTCTCGAGTCAGGCTGCCCGAATTCATTTCCTAACTTCACCACTTACTATTCATGAGATGTGAGCAAGTTACACAATCTCTCCACTCAGTTTTTAGATCTTTGAAATGGTTCCTTCTTCTTAAAGCATAGTAAGGATTACATGAAATAATCCATGGAATGCACTTAAAACAGTGCCTGAAACATAGCACCCACTTAATAAATGTCCACTGTTATTACTATTATTGTTACCTCTAAAATGTCTCTCAAACATTTGCTATTTCCTAATGCCTTTGACACTTCCATAGTTTAGGTACTTATCACTTCTTTCCTGGACCATAAATAATAGAAATTTACACTTAGCTTTGTTCTTTATAAATTTATCAAATGTTTTCTTGTATATTATCCAATTAACCTGATAAGTATTTAATTTATTCTAATCACAGACTCTCTACTTTGCAATTCATTCACCACACTGCCATTTAATGCTTTTAAAACACAAATCTAATGATGCCATTCCTATGCTCAAAAACCCTTAATGATCCTCCATTATGTATGCAATAAAGGAAAGTAACAACTCCACCTCATGGTAGATACACCCCTGACTTCACACTTCACCACATAGTTTTATAATCTGGCCACACTGCACCAGTCTTCAAGTTTAGAATAAACAATGAACTTTCAGATCACCTGCCTTGACTGTTTTGTTTTGCCTTGAATACACTTCTTTCCTTCTTCTACTTGTTAGAAATCCTATTTGTTCTTTAAGTTTTGCTTAAAATTTCATCTACTCTATGATATGTTTCTCAATTCTATATTGCTCATTCTTTTCTTGATTCTACTGTATATGTATATATACTGCATATATATATAGTCATATATTTATGCTACATCTCACAGAACTAATTATCCAGAGACTCTTATCTATGTTAAAATGTGAGCTCAATGAGAGGAAATGTCTTATTTGTTCTTTTATACTTTACAAACCAAACATAATATCCTTACAAATATTAGGTGCCCATATAAACATTTATTGACTAAATTTTCCTATGTAGAAGGCTTCTTACCATTCATTGGTGTATATCACATCTTAAGCAAATATTACACCTAAAGGAGTCACGTGGTTGATAATTCTCCTGCCAAAAGTTTCCACTCTTTACAAAAGAAATAAAAATGGGATGCCTTTAACAGGGATGTGAAGTCTTTGCCGCCGCGCCGGCAAGCGCCGCCCGGGAGGCAGCGGCTGGAGGAGCGGACGGGCCCCGCGGGGCCCGAGGGCAAGGAGCAGCCGCCTGCCTTGGCCTCCCAAAGTGCCGAGATTGCAGCCTCTGCCCGGCCGCCACCCCGTCTGGGAAGTGAGGAGTGTCTCTGCCTGGCCGCCCATCGTCTGGGATGTGAGGAGCCCCTCTGCCTGGCTGCCCAGTCTGGAAAGTGAGGAGCGTCTCCGCCCGGCCGCCATCCCATCTAGGAAGTGAGGAGCGCCTCTTCCCAGCCGCCATCACATCTAGGAAGTGAGGAGCGTCTCTGCCCGGCCGCCCATCATCTGAGATGTGGGGAGCGCCTCTGCCCCGCCGCCCCATCTGGGATGTGAGGAGCGCCTCTGCCCGGCCGAGACCCCGTCTGGGAGGTGAGGAGCATCTCTGCCCGGCCGCCCCGTCTGAGAAGTGAGGAGACCCTCTGCCTGGCAACCACCCCGTCTGAGAAGTGAGGAGCCCCTCCGCCCGGCAGCTGCCCCGTCTGAGAAGTGAGGAGCCTCTCCACCCGGCAGCCACCCCATCTGGGAAGTGAGGAGCGTCTCCGCCCGGCAGCCACCCCGTCCGGGAGGGAGGTGGGGGGGGTCAGCCCCCCGCCCGGCCAGCCGCCCCATCCGGGAGGGAGGTGGGGGGGTCAGCCCCCGGCCTGGCCAGCCGTGCCGTCCGGGAGGGAGGTGGGGGGGTCAGCCCCCCACCTGGCCAGCCGTGCCGTCCGGGAGGGAGGTGGGGGGGTCAGCCCCCCGCCCGGCCAGCCGCCCCGTCCGGGAGGTGAGGGGCACCTCTGCCCGGCCGCCCCTACTGGGAAGTGAGGAGCCCCTCAGCCCGGCCAGCCACCCCGTCCGGGAGGGAGATGGGGGGGTCAGCCCCCCCACCCGGCCAGCCGCCCCGTCCGGGAGGGAGGTGGGGGGGTCAGCCCCCCGCCTGGCCAGCCGCCCCGTCTGGGAGGTGAGGGGCCCCTCTGCCCAGCCGCCCCTACTGGGAAGTGAGGAGCCCCTCTGCCCGGCCAGCCGCCCCATCCGGGAGGGAGGTGGGGGTGTCAGCCCCCCGCCCGGCCAGTCGCCCTGTCCGGGAGGGAGGTGGGGGGGGTCAGCCCCCCTGCCCGGCCAGCCGCCCCGTCCGGGAGGGAGGTGGGGGTGTCAGCCCCCCGCCCGGCCAGCCGCCCTGTCCGGGAGGGAGGTGGGGGGGGTCAGCCCCCCTGCCCGGCCAGCCGCCCCGTCCGGGAGGTGAGGGGTGCCTCTGCCCGGCCGCCCCTACTGGGAAGTGAGGAGCCCCTCTGCCCGGCCAGCCGCCCCGTCCGGGAGGGAGGTTGGGGGGTCAGCCCCCCGCCCGGCCAGCCGCCCCATCCGGGAGGTGAGGGGCGCCTCTGCCCGGCCGCCCCTACTGGGAAGTGAGGAGCCCCTCTGCCCGGCCACCACCCCGTCTGGGAGGTGTGCCCAACAGCTCATTGAGAACGGGCCAGGATGACAATGGCTGCTTTGTGGAATAGAAAGGCGGGAAAGGTGGGGAAAAGATTGAGAAATCGGATGGTTGCCGTGTCTGTGTAGAAAGAAGTAGACATGGGAGACTTTTCATTTTGTTCTGCACTAAGAAAAATTCCTCTGCCTTGGGATCCTGCTGATCTGTGACCTTACCCCCAACCCTGTGCTCTCTGAAACATGTGCTGTGTCCACTCAGGGTTAAATGGATTAAGGGCGGTGCAAGATGTGCTTTGTTAAACAGATGCTTGAAGGCAGCATGCTCGTTAAGAGTCATCACCAATCCCTAATCTCAAGTAATCAGGGACACAAACACTGCGGAAGGCGGCAGGGTCCTCTGCCTAGGAAAACCAGAGACCTTTGTTCACTTGTTTATCTGCTGACCTTCCCTCCACTATTGTCCCATGACCCTGCCAAATCCCCCTCTCTGAGAAACACCCAAGATTTATCAATAAAAAAATAAATTTAAAACAAAAAAACAAAAAAACAAAAAAACAGGGATGTGAGCCAATATCTTTAAGTAAAAACAGTCACATGGAACTTTTGCAAAACACGCCTACAACACACACCTGTGTCCACCAACCTACCCAGGATTCTGACTTCCTGAGATATTACCATGTTTTCCTTGGGATTATCTTGGAATAAATATAAAGGCCAATTAATATACTGGTGCTATAAGCATATTATATCTTCATTTTTCCGATGAAGGCTACCTGGTTGGCTCTTGGAGAGGTGATCTAATCTATAGTCTCACTCCCTAATCTAAGTTCACTTTCAGGTCAGATGTCCCCAGTTTGTTTCTGATTCAATGATCTCATCTCCTTCAAGGGAGCTACTCATCCTTCAAAGGACTGCTATTAAAAAATCACGCTGGCGACTTACCTTACCTACTCCAGAGGAAATTTTCCAGCTCTGAAGTACAGTATTCCCTCTGTGTATTATTCTCCACAATTTCTTCCCTGGCTCTTGATTGGTCTTGGAAATACTGGCTAGTAGTAGCAGGAATAACTCTTTCCTAAACCTTCCATTTTCCTACAAGTGCATTTAATTAATCTGTTTCCCAAAGAAGTTTAAATGCTTATGCTTGAAAGCATATTTTCAATGTTTTTCTTACTTTATGACTGCCACGGGACTTACGTATCAGATTTAATTAGGAGACATCTATGGGGCATAAAAAGCTCAGGGCCAGTGTTGTCCATCACACTGTCTTTGTTTATCCTAACCTTTACCAAGTCACATTTATTATGCACAATCTAATGCACTGGACTTCTTAGCCATTACTGCTTCCCATGACTTGGATAGTTGGATTCCATCTTGTCAGTTAATAATAAACTATTATCTATCCCTATGATACCTCTGCCAAGAGCTTTTCTCCAGAAATTACTTTATAGTTATTATCTAATCTTTATAAAACCATGGAGGAAGTTTTCCCATCTAACAGACGGTAAATGATTAAGGAGCAGACAGTTACAGAGCAAGGTGACATGGCAATTAAGTGATGGAATAATACTGAGTGTTCCCAATGTTAATTTTCCATGGTTTAATCTGCAAACCTCATAATATTATCTGAGTTTAAGTTTGTGTAGAATGGCCTCACTTTCCATACAAATCATTAACTGGGATTAAAAAAAATGAAAAGATGCATAGAAATGTATGGAAGAGAGTTAAAAAGTAGTCTAGTCTTTAGAGGGCTATGTGCTGATTTCATTATTGTTGTTCACCAAGTCTGGCTGGGATTCACATATTTATTGAAACAATCACTTGATTACAAAAGCAGTTACAACCACAGGAATAATTACGTACATAAAGTTATTATGACATTATTTAGAAATTTTGTATATTACCAAAATAATTTTGAAGGACCTATTTTACCTTTTGTAAGTTAAGAAATGTTTTAACAATATTTTCCTACAATGTTTGTATTCATTTCAGTAGTATACTCTATCTTTTATTAATAATTTGTTATTGAGTAGCAATTAGATGGAAGAAGTGAGAAAAATGCTTGATCTCAGGATATTTTCACATTTCTGATGGCTAGTAATCATATTAATACTTTTTGCATAAGTAATAAGTGCATAGATAGTAAGCACTCAAATTCTTTACGTTTTAAATAATTTTTTTCAGATTCAACATGTTGTTTTTTTCTAAAAGCTTAAAGAGCCTAAAATTACCTTGTATCTTAGAGTTTATAATAATTTATCCCTTCACATTCTACAAGTATTTTTAAACTTTGAATACTTCATTAGGTATTGGAGCATATGCCCACCAGAATGTAAGTCCTACAATAGAATGTAGCCCCTATGAACAAAGGGATTCGGTCATTGGTGATGGATACCCAGTATCTAAAAATGTGCCTAGATGATAGTAGGTGCTCAACAAATATTTGCTCTCTGGAGGGAGACAGGGTTATAAAGATGAATATAATTATTTCTCTAGCTTCTAGGGTGCCTGAGGACTTTGGAGATGGATCTACTGTTGCTGTTCAAGAGCAAACCAAATTTCAAAATAAATATTTCAGTTCTTTCAAACCAACAAAATTTTGGTGTATGCAGTCATCTGATAATCATGCATATGATTTTATTATGTAAACATACATGATGAAGATAGGAAAAGGTTCTGTCTTCTCAGATGCATTTTCACCCCCTGTCAGTCTTGCGGCTCTGGAGCTTTCCACTCAGCGTGGCAAACAGCCACAGTACAATAAGGTCATTCATTGCTCATCTCTGACTGTCGAAATAGATTTTTTTTTTAAGAAAACTCACTGTGAGGAAAATAGATTTGAAAGTCAGTCATTGCCAAGAAAGATAAACTTTTCTAAACTTTCTCAGTTCCTGCATATCATAACAACGGCTAGCCTGGCTGACCTGACTACAGAGTGTGCTGTGACCTCTGCTCACCAAGAACCCTGTTGTCTTCTTTTTTCTGGATCCACAGTGAAGCTCCATTCTCAGCCTCCCTTGAGGTCATGTGTGACCCTGTAGCCGAGTTCTAGTCAATGGACTGTAAGTTGAAGTGCTATGTGCCCCTTTCAGGCCATGTTCAAAAATATGCCGCATATGTTCCCTCCTTCTTCCACATGTCTGGATGTCTGGGATGAAGGAAACCCCTGGGATGACCTTAGAAGTTACAGGTTGAGTCCCTGAATGACTACCTGGAGCTTAATAAAAAATATGGCAGCTTATTTTCCAAGACGACTGCCATCAGTTCCTTTCTTACCTATGGGAACATGCCATTCCCCATCAGAATATGGAGTCTACTCCTCCCCTCCCTTTAAATTTAAGCTGACCTCATTGACCTGACTGTTCAATAAATAAAGTACCATCGTGATGCTACCTTAAAACTCCCATCTAGGCTTCCTGGAACCTAGGCACTCTACTGTTCGGAAGTCTAAGGAGCCCTGTTAAGAGGCTCCCGAAAACCAGTATCAACTTGCTCACCCCCATGGGTAAATTGTCCTGGAAGGACATCCTCCAGTCCCAGTTGAGCTTCCTCATCTGAGATCATGCAGAGCAGAGAAGAACTGTGCAATAGAGCCTTTTCTGAATACTAAATCCACAAAATTCTGAAATATCATAAAACTAAGTATTATTTTGAGCTGCTAAGTTTGGGGTAACTTATTATGTATTGGTAGAAAACTGAAACACTACCTTACCTCCATCCTAAGACCACTCTGGAATGTATATGTGTTTAAGAAAGTATCTATTATTTTGAGCCTAGATATTTAGGTGTAATTGCCATTACAGAAAGAGGGAGAGGTATGCATTTCTTTTCTAGTACAAGTATTGTGAGAAGAGAAAAATGGACAGAGTGAGAAGAAACAGTGAGATGCAAACTATTCCTGCCTTTCCTCTCTGGATTGAAAGTTCAAGAAGTGATGAAAAGCATTTGAAATACACTGAGGAAAACAAGAGGGCAGGAGAGCTTCTGCCAAACTTCACATTAGGATCTGAGAGGAAATCCCCTTGTAGACTATCTATTGCAATCTTGGGGTGCAGCGTAGTATTGCCTGTAAGAAGAGGGTTTGCACACACACACCACAGCATTGAGTCATAAGTGGAATTTATAGAGCCCTGGAGTTCTCCTCTGTCCTTGGAGTAGGGTGGCACACAGTTGGCTGAGAGTTGGGATGAAGAACTTTGGCTGGAGTGGCCCTGGTGGGGCAAAGGGTTGATAATGTCATGAGCTGGAGAGTTGACAAGGACAAATTTGGAGTGATAACCATATCCATAAAGCAAGTAAGAGGAGCCACATCTTGATAGAGTGTGGCTAGGCCCTGTCAAGCTGAGGAACCAGCCCACAAGTTACACAAGCATCAGACCCCAACAGCAGACACCAAGACTATGCAGGGAAATGAGGCCAGGACTAGTTAGGCAACATTTGTCTCCACTCCAGACATAGCACAAAGCAATCGGGGACCCAGGCTCCCCTCCACCACCACAAGGTTGCTGGAGCCACACTTCCCTCTCTGTCCCAACACTGTCCTTAAGAGGAGCAGAAGAGAGGTCAGAAAAAAAAAGTCAATGCTTTCATCCAAATGAGATTGAGAATTTGTCTAAAGAGACTTTAAGTTATTTGATCTGAAAACACTGAATTGGGCTGTGCATTGTGGGGACTTAGGGAGGAAATCAGATCCGTTAAAGGAAAAAATAAAGAGAGCCCATTTTTCTTCCTACACATTGGAGTGTAGTTCGAGTGTATTTGTGACCCCACTGAACTATTAGGTTGGTGCAAAAGGAATTGTGATTTTTGCCATTAAGAAATCGCAATTACTTTTGCACCAACCTAATATATAGTCATTTTTACTTTCTAAATAAGTAAATCAAACCATGAACATCAGAATTATATGCATGACACAGCAGACATTAAACCTTTATTCAAGCTCAGGTCAGTGAGTTTTCTGTAGACTCTGCTGCCTCCTATCCCATATTCTATATTTATTATCATGCTTGTGACTTATACCTCAGATGTAAACCTTGAACTTAGTTTTGAGATCTAGCTATAACTGTAATAGGGGAGGGAGATAAAGAGTAAATGGTGCTTTCAAAGGATTTAACACACACACACACACACACACACACACACACACAGAGTCACATAAATCTGAACAGCAAATATTTTCTATGTATTTACACACACAGAGGCAAACCCTGCAGAGTACATGTGTGCGGGTGCATTAGATGTATCATTAGATGTAAAGAATTTATTTTGCATACCTGTCCTGTGGAATGATGGGTACCTGGAGATTTTTGTTAGGCCTAGGGTACTTGTTGTCCCTGTGCTTTATGGAGGAATGTCTGAAGAGGATTGTGATTTGTTTGCCAAATACTCACCTGGCGTCCACCACTTCTAGGAGGAAGTGAAGGGCTCTACACTGCTTTGCCCTTGCTGGGACACCTTTGGGGAATCTGAAAGCTCATGCTGAGCTAAAAGAGCATTTTAGCTTAAATACAGGATCTATGATTTGCCTATGAGACTAACGAATGAGTGTTAAATAGCTGTTAAAAGTGTGATATCTTGCAGTATCATGTAGATTAGTTTCCCCGTCTAACTTTATAGGACTTGTTGACATTCTGTCTAAAAATTATATGGTGCTGGTGGGCTCAACAGTGTAAGAGTGATTCTGTTTATGTGGGGCTAAAACAAAGAGGGTTCCAGCAGTTCTTGGCTGTATATGAGAAAGTGATAACAGTAGCAACCCTCAGAAGATTTGGCTATAGGGAAGCACTATTGCCAACCATTAATTGAAGGAGCCCACACGGAGGGGAGCAGTGATCACAGGTGCTGTAAGGGGGCACCAGTGAAGTGACTAAAGAGAATCACAGAAAGGCAACCCCTACAGAGGATTCTTCCCTACAGTTCTCTTTCAGAGTGAGTTACTCTTAATAAAAAGAAAGTTGGGCCAGGCATGTTGGCTCACACCTGTAATCCCAACACTTTGGGAGGCCCAGGCGGGTGGATCACCTGAGGTCCAGAGTTCGAGACAAGCCTGGCCAACATGGTGAAACCCTGTCTCTACTAAAAATACAAACATTACCCAGGCGTGGTGGTGGATGCCTGTAATCCCAGCTACTCAGGAGGCTGAGGCAGGAGAATCACTTGAACCTGGGAGATGGAGGTTGCAGTGAGCGAAGATAGTGCCACTGCACTCCAGCCTGGGCAACAGAGCAAGACTCCATCTAAAAAAAAAAAAAATCAATCCACTTTTTCTACTTAACATAAGTATGGGGGAAAAGGGGAAATTTCTTATCAAAAAAAATAGTGGACATAGACGCTTAGAAACTCCAAACTGAAGTTTCTGTCAACACAGAGACTCTGCCCACAGCTTCACAGACTTAGGAGTTGAACTTAAGGAAAGAGTGTTACAGAAATATAAGGGGATGAGCAGTAAATGACTGCTCTCACAATCTTATATTAAAATCAGCAGAACTTCAGTTGATAGTCCTTTTCTTCTCCATTTGAGGTACACACTGGAAAACTGTTGAGTTTGAAGGCCTTATTTTGAACAAATTGCTTGCATCTGTGAAAAGATTTTGTAACATTATCACTCCTGGGAGAAGCAGACACCCAATCTTTTAAGAAGCCCCAACAATCATGAAAAAAGAGACCAGGATATAAGGGAGGCATGTTTAGGTGATCGGTTGGGTCTTGCTGTATTTCTTAGGTTTAAAAAGGTATGAAATTCATCTGCTAGAAGTACTCTCTGTGTCTCTGATCTTTGTTCTTAGATATAACCATAACTCTTCAGTTACACTGAATTGCTGCTCTCTCATTTATTCATTTTGCTATTCTTTCCCATAAACATTTTAAATGTTAAGTCAGTCAGGCCCCCAAATTCGTCTTGTCAGATACATGTTTTTCCAATGCTAATTCACTTATAACTCTAAGAAGATGGCATCTCCATACTAAGCACAAATGTACTTTTGTTACTTGATATAGGCAGGCAAACCACTTGGCAAATCTGTCTCAATTTTTCTTCGTATTTAATATTTTTTGATCCAGTAGATCAGTTTTAGAATGACGACTTGACTTAAGAAGGGATCTAGGAACAAAAGCAAAGTTACTTTTGGAGTGTTTTAATCTCACAGTAAGCAAAGAATCAAAATCAGATCTGAAAGATTTCTTTATTTCTATTTCAGCAGCTCTTTTATCAAACAAATCCCTATCCATATTTTTTACAAAGAATAAAGAAATTGGAAACAGCAGCTCTTTTGGAGTATGATGCTGGGATTTATTGAGTGGCTGGATTCTATGATTATATTGGTTCTTAAGCTCCAGAGGACAGTGACCTTCAGAGTCCGTTGCCGAAGGCAAATGTTCTCTAGAAGGGTCCTTTAAAAAAAGAGCAAGTAAGCAGATTCAATCATTTTTTATGCAACTTCCTTTTGACCTTTCCCTTGGCAAACACATCAGCAAATTACATGTAGAATGGAAATGTGCTTGATCTGGTCAAATGACTTCTATTGATATTTTACTCCTCAATGTTTAAGGGAGAAATTGAGAGCATTGCTTATTTATTCTGATTACATATGGTAACAAGACTGTATAATATGGTCGTACTATAGAGAAGGACAGGTTTGATAACTAACTAGAAAGGCAATTTTAGGATCCATTGAAAACAAAAAGGGGCTTTCTGGCCCAGACAGGGAAGTAGAAGGAAAAATAGAGAGCAAAAATATGGAGAGTGATTGCAAAAAGACTTGTTTTCTTGCACTCTGGGAACTTTACAGACTTTGATCTTTCATGGGACATAGACTACGTAGGCAAGAGCAATCTATCCCTTCCTAAAAGCTAAAAAATGAAGCTACCACTGGATTAAACTGACAAGACAGGAGAAAGGACCAGACCAGTGAAGAAAAGAAAGCTGACAAAACGGGAGCTTAAAGGAGATTCCCAGCCACTTCTAAGACTTAACGAATGCAGTTTGATCTTAGGAAACTAAGGTCATGTGCTTGTTTGAAAAAACAAAGTAAATACCTTCAAGAAGAGTGAATACATTTTACAGACAGATTTCTCAGGAATTCCCAGTGTCTGTATGTAAACCTGTCCGTGAGTGTGGATATATCAAAAAGAGATGGATGACTAATGAGAATACGTACATCAAAAAAGAGATTAATGACAGAAATAGTCAACAAAGCAAAATTTTAAATAAATTTATTTGCTGCAAAATTTATTGTTTCCCTATTATTTGCTCATTAAAAACACTTGGGACTCAAAACAAATTTGCTCTTTCAGGTAGTTTACATTCTTATGGGGAAAGACAGACAATTGACCACAGTAAATAAAATATATAATATGTAAGTTGATGAGAAGTGCTATGGAGAAAAGCAAAGTAGTTAGAAAAGTTCTCACTGATAAAATTATATTTGAGCTCAGACTGGAAGGAGGTAAGGGAACAAAGCCTGGGGATAAAAGGAGGTAAAATATTCGAGGCAGACAAAAGAAGCAGCATAAAGGCCCTGAGGTAGGGAAAGGTTTGGCACATTCAAACATGTTCAGAGTAAAATAGATGAGATAAGATGTAGAAGAAGTGAGATTTTCAAAAGGTATCTAGGAATCATATTATGCAGGATCTTGTAGGTTATGTATGTCAGTTACCTATTTCTTCATCACAAACTACCCCCAAGCCTAGTGGCAATAACAACCGTTTATTTTGCTTACAAAATCTGCAATTTAAGCAGGGATTGGTGGAAAGAGCTTATCTTTGCTCCACATGGCATCACATGGAGCAGCTTGACGAGGGGCTGGAGCATCTGCCTAAATGATAGCTTAGTCACATCCTGGCAAGGTAGTGCTGGCTGTAATCTGTGATCTCGGCCAAAACTATGGGTTATAGACCTCATTCCTACTCTTTATTATCTCTTTCTGGGTATCTTGGGCTTCCTCACAGATTGGTGGCTAGTTTCCAAGTGTGAGCTTCCCAAGAGAGCAAGGAAGAAATGCATGGCACCTGTGACCTAGCCTTGGAAGTCACAGAGCATCACTTTCGATATACTCTACTGATCAAGTCTGCCTAAAGGTCTGTGCAGGTTCAATGGGAAGAGACATAGACCCCATTTCTTGATGAGGAAATGACAAAGCTCTAGAAAATATATGAGGCAAAAGATATTATGTGGCTATCTTTGGAAAATACAATCTGTAACACCACAATAACAGCTTTGAAATTTACTGAGTGAAATGGGTGCCCACTGTAGTGTTGTCAGCAGAGGAGTGACTTAAATTTTCAACAGGTTGTTCAATCTTTTTGTTGAAAATAGATTGTAGAGAGCAAGGGTTGAAACAGTCTCAACAGTAAAGAGGCTATTGTTATAATGAGGTGAGATGTGAAAGTGACTTGGACCAGAGTTGTAACAGTGGGGATGGTGAGAAGTGGGGAGACTTTGAATATATTCTGAAGGTAGAGTCAACAGGATTTGCTGAGAGATTAGGAGTGGGGTGTGTGAGAAAGAGAGGAGTCACGTATAACTCCTTGACTCCCCTTCAGAGAGGATATCCCCTCCCTGCTATAAATGACTAGTTTTTATTAGATTTTGTCACCATTAAAACAATTCAAAAATGAATAAAATACCAAAATAAAACCTGTTTGAATGCAGCAGAAAGTTCCCAATGCAGCCAGGATCTGGGGATCCAACACGTCAAAGGGAAGGGAAACATGTGAAAGCAAGCCCAACATCTCATGCTACTTTTTCCTTTGAGTCATTTGCCAGTTTATGAATAGGGCATGTCTGAGAGCTCAGAAGCTGAGCAGAAACATGAGCCCAACTGTCAGAGAAGCTGGTCAAAGTTGTCAGGAATCTCAAGGGGCTAAAGAGACAAAAACTGGAGTTCAAGGCTGTCAATGTAGTCACGAGAAGAGGGAACAAGATCCCAGACAGCAGAAAAGTGCAAAAAAAGGTACACCAAAAAAGTGAGCTAAACATTTGGTGATGCTTTTCCTTTTAGGAAGATAGTTTCCAAAAGGCCTAGAGGCTGAGAAGAAAAAAACAAAAGTGACTGAGAGGCTAAGACGTTAAGGAGAGCTCTTAAAAAGTCTCATAATATTCATGAAGTCCAGAGCTTGCTAAGGATGATAGACCTTGATAAACAACCTAGACTTGCAGTAAATACCTGGTAGGGCTACACCTAGGAGTAAGAGAAACAGACTAGGATTCCCAAAAATTACAACTCAGCATAGAATCACCTTGATACCAGACTAAATTAGGATGATCTGCTTCTATTCTAACTGCCTGCCAGAAGCAGAAATACATTCTCCACATATCATGCAGAGCCTCTACAATTTTTCATAAACAATATTTATAATGTAATCAATAGTTGTCAGGTCCAGGTATACTAAAGGACAAGAGTGAGAAAAAAACAGACAATATAAATAGACCTATAGGTGATCAAGATTAAATTGATCAAAATAGACTTAAAAACACCTGGGTTTAGTGCATTCAAGATAATTGATGATAAAGTAAAAATTTCAGCAGAGGACTGAAAGCCATTGAAAAAAAGTAGAAAATCTGGAATTAAAATACAACAGATTTAACAAAGAACTTCAAAGATACATTTAATCAAATACTAAAAAGAGATAAACAAGAATTAGTGAACTAAAAGACAAATCAGAGAAAAATGACCAGAGAGAGAGAGAGAGAAAGAGAGAGAGAGAAGATATAGCAAAGAATGTAAGAGACATAGTATACGTGGTCAAAGGGTCTAAACTGTATGTCATTAGATTCCTAATGAGAAGAATGAGAAAAAGAGAGATTATAGCAAAAATAATGGTGTTAAGTTTTCTAAAACTGACGAAAACCCTCAAACCACTGATTCAAGAAATACTATGAATTCAAAAGGAATATAAAGAAAACTACAGAGTCACAACATAGTAAAACTACTGAAATAAAACAAAACAACAGTAAGAAAATGTTGAAAAAATAGCCAGAGATGGCCGGGAGTGGTGGCTCACGCCTGTAATCCTAGCACTTTGGGAGGCCAAGGCAGGCAGATCACCTGAGGCCAGGAGTTCCAGACCAGCCTGACCAACATGGTGAAACCCCATCACTACTAAAAATACAAAAAAAATTAGCTGGGCATGGTGGTGTGCACCTGTAGTCCCAGCTACTCAGGAGTCTGAGGCAGAAGAATCGCTTGAACCTGGGAGACAGAGGTTGCAGTGAGCCAAGATTGTGCCACTGCACTCCAGTCTGGGCAACAGAGCGAGTCTCCATCTCAAAAAAAAGAAAAAAGCCAGAGATAAAGAAAACAATAGCTATAAATAAGTTACCTTAGACAATAAAACTATATCTGGTTTTTCAATAGAAACAATGTAAGCCAGAAGACAACGGAATCACATCTTTGCTAAAACAAAATAACTGCCTACCTAGAACTCTATACTTAGGGAAACAATTCTTTACAAATAACAAAGGTGAAATAAAGATAGTTTCAGACAAACTAAAGTGATGTCATATTAGCTATTAAACCCATATTTCCCCAAATCAAAATTCCTCAGTGTTATAATAGTAATTGTAACCACTGTACAATATTTATGGGAGATTGAGAAGTAGATTATTTGTGTTGAGAATATGTCTATTTTCATTCTTTTGTTTCATAAGGTCCTGTGCCATGGAAGCCTTGAATTCCAGTGCCCGTTACTTCTTCTGCTGCCAGTGGCTCCCATTTGTGTTCTCTCCTGTGGCATCGGATTCGATGCAGAAATGGGGTAAATGGCCATGTCCAAATATTTGTTCTTTACTTTGTCACCTGAGCCTTTAAGTAGCAATGCTAGTGTCCAGACTTGGAAGAGGTTTTACAAAAATAGCTCCCTCAAAATCTAACTCTATTCTTCCTGCCAGTGGAGCTTAGGGATAGTCTAAAAGAGCCAGGATAGGGTCAGATGCCACTACTTCTACTCATTTTACTCTCTTGCTTACAGATTTTACTCTCTTGCCTACAGATACCTGTGTACTCATCAGCTCCTATTCCTCCAGCTCAACCAAAGTTCTTTTAACAGTAAAAACCAATATGCAAAGAAGAGGAGGAAGAGATGGAACCATCAAGCCCTTCTGGGCTCAGAATATGTGTGTGTGAGCGCACATACACAGGTGCATGCAGCTTTGCAATATAAGATTAAACTGTACAATGTTCTATAATCTCCATTTTTCCATTCACTATATTATGAACATCTTCCAAATCACCATATAGTTTTGTATAACACACATTTTGATGACTGAACAGTAATGTATTCTCCACAATTTGTATTACCAAATCTTTACTGATGGACACAAGTTATTTAGAGTTTTGATCATTAAAAACATAGCTTTAATAAACATTCATATATCTTTGCACCCTTTTCTAATTATTCCTTAGGACAGGTTTCTAGAAGGCTATTTCTGTCACAAATATGTTCATTTTATAGATTTTAAAGTAAATTTCAGAAACACAAGGACATGAACAGACATTTCTCAAAAGAATAAAAACAAGTGGCCAAGAAATACATGAAAAAATGCTCAGCATTACTAATCACCAGATAAGTGCAAATTTAAACCATAGTGAGACACCATGTTACACCAGTCAGAATAACTATTATTAAAAAGTGAAAAGACAACAGGTGTTGGTGAGGATGCAGAGAAAAGGGAACACTTATACACTGTTAGTAGGAATGTAAATTAGTTCAACCTCTATGGAAAACAGCACGGAGATTTCTCAAAGAAATAAAAATAGAACTGCCATTCAACCGAGCAATCCCATTACTGGTTATCTACCCAAAGAAAAAGAAATCAAATTTAAAAAGACACCTGCACTTGTATGCTCATTGCAGCACTATTCACAACAGCGGTTATGGAACCAACCTAAATGTCCATCATCAGTTGACTGGATAAAGATAATGTGGTGTATATACACCATAGAATACTACAAAGCTATAAAAAGAATGAAATCATGTCTTTTGCAGCAAGATGGATGTAGCTTGAGGCCATTAACCTAAGTGAATCAACACAGAAACAGAAAACCAAATACTGTACATTCTCACTTATAAGTGGGAGCTAAACAATGAGTACACAAAGCCATAAAGATGAAAATAATAAACACTAGGGACTCCAAAAGGGGGAGGGGTAGGAGGAGGGTGGGGATTGAAAATTTACGTATTGGTACAATGTTCACTATTTGGGTGATGGGTACACTAGAAACCCAGTCCCCAGCAGTATGCAGTATACTCATGTAGCAAACATGCACATATACCCCCTGAATCTAAAATAAAATAAAACTTAAATATATATAGATGAAAAAAGAAATATCCACAAGTAAAATTATATTTATTTACATTTCTGTAAATGATATATGAGAGTGCTTTGTTTTGTTCTATTCATCAGCACAGGTTATTATGATATTCTGATCTTTGCTAATTTAGATACAAAATACTATTTAATTGCCATCTCAATTTATATCTCTTTGATTATTAATATAGCCATTCTTTTCATACTATAGTTGGCTACCTTACTCAAGTTTCCCTATAACTAGAAAATCTTAGATGATCCCAAAGTTTTGTGGATTACCCACTGATTATTACTGGCGCAAAAGGAAGCTCTTCGCCGGGCGCGGTGGCTCACGCCTGTAATCCCAGCACTTCGGAAGTCCGAGGCGGGCGGATCACGAGGATCAGGAGATCCAGACCATCCTGACTAATATGGTGAAGCCCTATCTCTACTAAAAATACAAAAAATTAGCCGGGCATGGTGGCGGGCGCCTGTAGTCCCAGCTACTTGGGCGGCTGAGGCCGGGGAATCGCTTGAACCCGGGAGGTGGAGGTTGCAGTGAGCCGAGATCGCACCACTGCACTCCAGCCTGGGCGACAGAGTGAGACTCGTCTTAAAAAAAAAAAAAAAAAAAAAAAGGAAGTTCTTCATTGTGTCATTGTCTTTATTTTGTATCTGACCTCTTTTCTGAGCTCAGTTATTAGATCTAGTTATTGTCGGTTGACTCTCTTGGGTTTTCCAGGTAGTGAATTTTACCCTCTGCAAGTAATGATAGTTTAGTATCACTAAGAGATATACCTTTTATTTCTTTTGCTTACTTTTTTTCACTGGGTGTTCCTCCAGAAAAATATTGAAAAATGATAAGCAGGATTATATTGCAAGTTTCTGTATTTTTTAACATTCAAATAATAATGTTGGCTTTGATTTGTGACAAAAATGCTTTGTCAGATAATATAAACATCTTTCTATCTCTAGTTTACTGAAAGATTTATAATAAAGTGTTTAATTTTTATCAAAGGCACTTTTAACATTTATTATAATAAAATATGTTTTATTATTTTGTTTCTTTTGTTCTATCAATGTGGTAAATTACATACTAGATTTCCTAGTGTTAAGCTATCACTGCAATTCTAAACTAAATGGTGTTTTTCCAACACCTAATATTCTTTTCAATGCTTTGGTGGACTTGCTAATTTTTCTTATGATTTTGTATCCTAGAATCTTATTTCTTCTTGTTACCTTTGTCAAGTTCTAGTAACATGTTATGCTAGCCACAAGTAATAAATATACTTTAATGTCCAGAGTTTTATATGCTATATAATAGCTTCATTAGCATAAACATAGTTTATTATAAAAAGATTTTCTAAAAAATTATCATAAGACCTATGAGGGGATGCACAAAAAGGGAGTAATACTTTGACAACTTCGTTTATTTCTTTTGTGACTATTTGTTCCTTCATTGTTGTTTTAACTTCTTCCTTTTTCTCTATTTTTAAAATGTATATATTTCCTAGAAAAATTATATCTTTCATCAAGTTTTTCCAAGTAGATTGGCAAAGAATTATGAATAATATTCTCTGATAATTTTTAATTTCTTACTGGCCTATAGTCATAACATTTAAATTTTTACTATGTTTTTCTCGACTAAAACAGCCAGATTTTGTCTGTACTTTTCACTGAAACTGATCTTAGATTATTTATAAATCCTATTTATTTCTATTTTTTCATTTATTATTTTCTACTTTGACATTTATGAATTCTCCCTGCTTTCTTTGGTTTATTTTGTTGCTACTTTTCTAGCTTCTTGAGTTAAAATTTTAATTTACTTGATTTTATTCTTTCTTGTTTATCAAATAAGGTCTTTAAATTTCTGAATGTGTATGTCTTGGCTGTGCCCTCTAAGCATCCATCTTTTATACAGGAATTTATAGACACACAAGCACAAGTTCTAGTTTCAGTTTTTGGGAAATGTATCTAAAAGCCCATATTCAAAAGAGATAAATGTGCAAGTCTGAGAAATTTGAGAAGTATGGTGAAATGTCCATTAGCTGTAACTAACTGGAATCATTTGGTTGGATTTGTGTGCATTTTTTTCCCTTTTAAAAGCAAATTGTATGGGAAAGAAACCCTCACATAGCTTATGCATTACAATTTTGGAATCTTCAAGGGGATTACTTGGGTCAATGCATACTGATTCTAAACTTCCATGCTTTTTTCAATTTTTTATAATGATCAATCATGTTCAGAAGGATATTCTGAGGCACTGCAAGATTATCTTCAGAAGTTACATTACTATACTAGTGTTAGGAAGTATTACACTATTTACTATACTAGTGTTAGGAAATATTATAAATATATTCATATAAGGATTGGATGAATATCTACAAGGATTTTGACAATGAGAAGTTTCTATTCAATTCTTGACAAAATACTTCATTCTCTGACATTTAAATTAAACCTAGTTGTGTAGTGATTATTATATATCACTAATAATAATGCTTACATTTACTGCATACTTACAATGAGTCAGTTAGTATTCTACCACTTTTTGTGTATTTTCTTATTCTTTAAGGCAACCTCATGAAAAAGGCAGTGATGAAGAGATGAGGCACAGTGGTTAGGTCACATGGCCACTCGGGGACTCAGACCCAAACTGCCCCAAGAGCCCATGTTCTTAATTGTTTTCCTTTTCTTTTTTTTTTTTTTTTTAAGTTGGAGTCTCACCCTGTCGCCCAAGCTGGCGCAGTGGCATGATCTCGGCTCACTGCAACCTCTGCCTCCTGGTTCAAGCAATTCTCCTGCCTCAGCCTCCTGAGTAGCTGGGACTACAGGCATGCGCCACCAGGCCCAGCTAATTTTTCTTTTTTTTTTTTTGCATTTTTAGTAGAGATGGGGTTTCACCATGTTGGTCAGGCTGGTCTCGAACTCCTGACCTCAAATGATCCGCCCGCCTTGGCCTCCCAAAGTACTGATATTATAGGCATGAGCCACTGTGCCCGGCCTCTTAATTCTTTATGACACTACCTAGTAATGGGTTGAAAAATGTGAGGCCACAAAACCACAAGAGAAATGCCCTGTGTGAATTTACCTTTGGCAGGGATGAGGCAGGATAATGTGACCCAGCAATGTGGCAACATAACTCTTTGTAAAGCTAACCCACCAATGTGGGTGACACAATGACTCCCCAGCTCAGAGACACAATCCCTTAAAGAAGATCTGTGACAGCCCCTGCCATCGCAGGAAGGGATGATGTCCGTTCTAGCATTCACATGAACACCTGGACTGTTTCTAGATTATCTTCCAAATCATGTATAAATTTTCCATCAATGGAATCTAATTTAAAGGAGGTACAATGCCCCAGTATGATGCCACACCCAAAAGGAGTATGTGGTTTTGTTTGTGACATCAGTGTTGGGAACCAGGTGCAACGTCCCTCGCAGATCACAAGACGTGCCCTCAAAATAGGCCACCCTGAAAGTATGTTTTCTTTTACTTCCATACATTCTTTCCAATTTGGCATGGGATGGGAACTTTGGGTTTGCTTCTGGGGCGTCCTTTGTTTTTAAAAAAGCTAATATTCATTTCCTCATTTTCCTTGGCAAAAAATAAAACAACAACAATAGTAATAACACTTGGCACTAACAATGAGAACCCCGGGAAAGATTAAAAGGGGCAACTATAGTAACGAAGCTACTCCAATGGGTAGCTTCATTCAAGGGAACACTCAGAAGATTCACTTAAAAACACCAGTATGTCTATGTATCACATTTTCTTTATTCATTCATCTTGTGGGGGAGGTGGGCAGGTGGGAATGGCTAATAGTTAAAAAAATAGAAAGAATGAACAAGACCTCATATTTGATAGCATAACAGGGTAACTATAGTCAATATCTTAATTGTACATTTTAAAACAACTAGCAAAGGATAAATTCTTGAGGAGGTGGATACCCCATTCTCCATGATGTGATTATTAATACCTAGTATTTGATAACATAACAGGGTGACTACAGTCAAAATAATTTAATTATACATTTAAAAATAACTAAAAGAGTGTAATCGGATTGTAACACAAAGGATAAATACTTGAAGGGTTGGATACCCCCCGTTTCCCATGCTGTGATTATTACGCATTGCATGCCTGCTTCAAAACATGCCATGTACCCCATAAATATACACACCTACTATATGCCCACAAAAATGTTTAAAAATTTAACCAAAACCAAAACCAAACACCAATATGTATATAACCTTAAATTTTCTATTGTCATACATTTATTAAGAGTTTGCCATACCTTGGTAAAAATTAGACAAAAGATGGTAACCTTATTTTGACTCTTATTCTGGATGAGCTGTTAGGTATTTCACAGCACAGGCCTTTCTTTGCAGGAACCAGTGTCTGTCACTTTTAGTGCACTTTGAACCTTCTCTGCCAAGTGCTTATGAGTTTCTCTTAGTTCTTGTACTTGCACAGTCACGCAATGTCTTCTTTAAAAAGGAAAAATAAAAGACCTTGAATAAAACAAACAGTTGATATTGATCTAAGCTAACTACAAAGGAAAGTAATTAAAGGACGGATCATTATTTCTCTGATGCAATTTTTAATCGCCCCCGCAATATATTCTCCACCCTGATTAAACCGCTACATTCAGAGATTTCAACTATTGTGTTCGAGGTTTCATGCAGTATAGTCCACTTGAATCACCTCATGAAAGTGAGCAAGGCAGGCTCATTGGGTTGTCATGAGCCTTTTTGTTTTTTTTAAGTCCCTGGCAAATAACTTCAATAACAAGAAAGAGTTTACAGACATGTAGTTGTATCAACAAGAAATGAGTTTCCATTGACTGTTGGTCCAATTGTGTCTTATATTTACTTCATTGAATTCAAATGAAAGGAAACAAAGTCTTCAAATTTAAACTGTATCTTTATAGAAGCTTTCCTACATTCTCTTTTCTTTTTCTTTTTCTTTCTTTTTTTTTTTTTAATTGAGACAGAGTCTTGCTCTGTCACCCAGGCTGGAGTGCAGTGGTACGATCTAGGCTCACTGCAAGCTCTGCTTCCCAGGTTCACACCATTCTCCTGCCTCAGCCTCCCGAGTAGCTGGGACTACAGGCGCCCACCACCATGCCTGGCTAATTTTTTTGTATTTTTTAGTAGAGATGGGGTTTCACTGTGTTAGCCAGGATGGTCTCGATCTCCTGACCTCATGATCCACCCGCCTTGGCCTCCCAAAGTTCTGGGATTACAGGCATGAGCCACCATGCCCAGCCACATTCTCTCTCTCTCTATAAAACACCTGGTATATTGAACATGCTACATATGAACAAAACAGAATAATTTGAGTTCTTGTGGAAAGGAAGTTAATTTTGTTCCAGCATGGTCAGTCTTCAGAACATATTCCTCATTTAAGAAAAGCAGAATAAAATATATATAAATTACTGTTTTTGTTACATTAATTTGCTATTTATTGCTTTTTCCTCTAAATATTGAGCTACTCATAATTTTATAACAACACTAGATGTTGTAATAGAGCATCTTGTCTTTAGCATGATTTCACCTCTCCTTCATGTGAAAGTCTTTTCTATTTTTATTACTAAATTATTTCATTCCGATTCTATTCTCTGTACTATTTATTGTTTTTTTGTATACGTTATGCCTCCCACTTAGATTGCAATCTCCTTGCAAAAAGGGGAATATATCTTTCCTTCTTTGTATTTTTACCATCTGACTCAGTCCTGTAAATGCAGTAGATAAAGAAGAAATGTTTCTTGATTATGATTTGGAGTTTGTTTAATGAAAGTTATTTTTTAAGTGAGAAAATATTAATGTGATACATGTAAAATAGTAGTAAAACCAAGAGGATCAATAATATTTATGAAGCATGTATGACATACCACCCACTATATATACTTTACATAATATAACCCTTGAGGTAGTTATTTATTATTTCCACTTTTCAAATATGGAAATGAAGACTCAGTGAGGTGAGGTTCAGGAACTTGACCAGTGCCAAACAGTTTAAGAGCTGCAGAGCCAGGTGTTAGGTCTGGCTGACTCTAAAGCATGACCTCCCTCCATTATGCTGTAATGCCTTTCATGAAAACATTAAAACACCACCTTTAATTAAAAAAGATCTTGGCTGGGCACAGTGGCTCACACCACTGTGGGAGGCCAAGGCACTTTGGGAGGCCAAGGCAGGAGGACAGTTTAAGCCCAGGAGTTTGAGGCCAGCCCTGGCAACATAGTGAGACCCTGTCTCTACAAAAAATAAAAAAAAAGTAGCCAAGTGTGGTGGTGTGCACCTGTAGTCCCAACTACTTGGGAGGCTAAGGTGGAAGGGTCGCTTGAGCCTGGGAGGTCGAGGCTGCAGTGAGCCATGATTACACCACTGCATTCCAGCCTGGATGACTGAGCAAGACCCTGTCTCAAAAACAAACAACAACAACAAACAGATCTTACATTCGGTCTGTAAAATGTTGCTTGCTGCCAAAGGTGGTGATTTCTTCTCTTCTTCCATTGATGATCACAGGGGAAAGGAACCCATCACCATATTGTGCAAAGTTAAGTGTACAAAATGGACTGTTAAAGAATATATTTTAAAACCTGAGAGAAAATAAATGTCTGAACCCAAATCAGAGAATATAAATGAGTGACAACTCAATGAGGAGAGGAAATTCCCAGCAAAGAGATTGTGACAGCATGAGAAAAAAAAGATGAGGGTAAGTAAAGGAACTGATAGGATGTCACTATGTGGGTAAAAAGGTAGGGAGAGGAGAAAAGATATATATGGATATGCATAAAATATTTCTGGAAGCATCCATAAGAAATATTGTTTGCTCCCAAATAGTGATATTGAGTTGAGGGAGATTGAGAAATAGGAAGGAGATTTTTCACTACATGCTCTTTTTTGTGTGTTGAATTTTATAAAATCTAAGTTAAAAATAAAAATAAAATGCTGGGCCAGCTATGGTTGCTCACACCTATAATCCCAGCACTTTGGAAGGGTGAGATGGGAGGATTGCATAAGGCCAGGAATTCAAGACCAGTCTGGTCAACCAAGTGAGACCCCATCTCAAAAAAAATAATAAAATGCAAATGAAGAGACTAACGTGGCTCTATAAGTATCCCTTGAACACAGAACTAAAAGATATAACAGTAATAGTAATAACGAAGTTTTGTATATGTCTGAAATACATAATTTATAAGGTGTTCTTGCATGTATTATGTAATTTAATCATAATTTCATAATGGTGTTCCTTATAAGATGGGATATGATTTAGCTTTATTTGACAAAGAAGCTTAGATTAAGCAACTTGACGCAGGTCGTATGGGTAATAGATGGCACTCGAATGCTTTGACTCCAACCAAGTTCAATACTTCCATCATACAAAAGAGGGCAGGAGAGAAAAATCATCCAGAAACACATGAAGAGCACCCTCAACCTGTTAGAATAGGGTAGACAGAGTAAAGCCCAGATTAAGATAAAGCTAACAAAAATGCAAAACACTGCAAATTTAAATATAGTCAGAACAAGAACAAGAATTTCCTAAAGCCCACTTCCTGTGAAAGATGACAGAGAGAAGATGAACTTGGCCACATTCTAATTTGCTTTTATCATCTCTGTCGACATGATTGGCTGGAAAGAAGGAAGACACTTGAGAAAAACAACTGAAGTCTGAGATTAGTTAAGGGATAAAAAGAGAGTACATAATTACTCTAATGAGCTTGAATCTCATTACCCATTGAGATTACACTCTGGATACAAAATGAGCTTGTGTTAGTGATCTGTGGAGGACAAGAGAGGTGCTGAAAGGCTGAATATATGTACATCTCCAATTTTTAAAGGGATGAAGAAAACAGATCTTGCAAACCACATGCCATAAACTGGGTTTACTATTGACTCTAGAGACAATTCTAGATAGGATTAACAAAGAAATCACTTAGAAACCCTTTAAAATGCCCTAGTCACAGAATGGAATCAATGTTTTAATTAGATTATATATTAGTTTGCTTGGGCTGCCAAAATAAAATACCACACATTTGGTGATTTAAGCCACAAAAACTTATTTTGTTGTAATTCTGGAGTCTAGAAGTTTGAAACCAAGGTGTTAGCAGGGTTGGCTTTTTCTGAGGCCTCTCTCTTGGCCTACAGATGGCTGTCTTTTCCCCATGTCTTCACATGGCCTTCCCTTTGTACCTGTGTTTAAATTTCCTCTTCTTGTTAGGACACCCATTATATTGGATTAACCTACCTTGATGACCTCATTTTAACTTAATTACCTCTTTAAACACTATCTCCAAGGTCAGTTACATTCTGAGCCACTGGGGAGCTAGGACTCTAATATAGGAATTTTGGAAGGCTACAATTCAGCCCATAACAGATTTCTTTTTATTTTTAATGATGATATAGCTGAAAACAGAAAAACAAAATATGTTTTTTTTTTTTAACTAAGATGGATGGCTGGTGTGTTAGAATCAAATGGAGTATTCTTCCAAATTATATTCCCTGCTCCTACGCCACACATAGAGATTCTGGTTATTCAGTATTCTCCTCCAAAATTCTTGATACAAACATATATGATCACCTTTGATCACATAGTAAAGGAGAGGTGAGGATATGATTTCTTGATCCTCAAACTTCAGGGCAGGGATAGTGGTGGCAGAGACCAAATGTCTGAGATGTACCTGCAGGCAAGAAAGGAAGGTCCCTGAACCATCTAGGGCTGGGAAGAGGCCACAGGACATAATAACAGAAAGTCCTGAAAGGGCCTTTAATGACTGGAGCTGTACAGTAAATGGACAGGAGTCTTCTTAAGATAATGAGTTCACTACAGAGGATGGATAGAGTTGTAGGTGGGATTTGTATTGAGGATAAAGTGTTGATTTAGCTTCTACTACCAATCTATTGATTCTATCATTTATGATTCTCTTATCATTGAGATAAGAAAATTAAATATAGAGAGATTAGTTTTCTTAAAGGATAGGTCCAAATTCAGAGGCTACACCTGAGATTGTACATTGATAGAAGCCTATTTTATACAGTCACATACTGAAGAAGGATGTTTTAGTTAAAAATGGACTGCACATATTAATACAATGGTGATCCCATAAGATTATAATAGAGCTGAAAAATTCCTATTGCCTAGTGGCATCATAGCAGTTAAATCATTGCACAATTATTTTTTGTAAATTTAGTGTAGCCTAAGTGTACAGTGTTTATAAAGTCTGCAGTAGTGGACAGTAATGTCCTAAGCCTTCACATTCACTCACCACTTACTCACTGACTCACCCAGAGCAACTCCCAGTCTCACAAGCTCCATTCACGGTAAGGGCCCTATATGGGTGTACCACTTTTTATCTTTAATACTATTTTTTTGCTATACCTTTTCTATGTTTAGAAACAAAAACACTCCACACTGCACCACAGTTTTCTACAGTATTCAGTATAGTTATATACTATGCAAGTTTGTAGCCTAGGGGCCATAGGCTATGTCACATAACCTAGGTATGTAGTATGCTATATCATCTAGGTTTTTGTAAGAACACTCTCCAATGTTTGCACAATGACAAAATCTCCTGACGACACATTTCTCAGAAGGTATCTCCATCACTGAGTGACTCATGGCTGTATTTGCATGACTCTTTACTGTATCCAAAGTGGTTCACAAACCGTATATCCACTATTAACATTATCTCCTTTAGTTATTCACTGGTCAGATCATTCCAATCTAGTTTCCCTTTCCACTACTCTACAGAACTGTTTTTTAAAAGTAACCCTCTATTTTTTACATAAAATAATGATTTTCATTTTTATCTCACCAGACTCAAACTCTTTGCATTCCTGTCTTCCACAACAGCACACATTTCTAGTGATATTCCCATTTCTCTGACCATTCCTTTTGATTTCCTGTTGCCATTGCAGGATTTTGAGCCTTAAAAAGTTGGGGCTTCTTGGGGTTTTGTCCTTTTTCCTGTTCAATTCTTAAGCTCCATATTCTCTTTGAACAATCACATCTAAATCCACAGTCTCAACCAACAACTGCTTACCAACATTTCCCAAATATCTCCAGCCAAGTCATTGCTTTTGACCTCCAAACCAGTTTTTCCAACTGTATATGGAATGTCTTTCACTTGGATATCCCAGAGGATTTTTGCATCTGCATGGACAAAATGGAGTAAATCTAGCCTCCTAGTTTCCCTTTTGCTCCTGTTGGTGTTCATAGTGTTGTTGGATTACAACGTTGTTTTCAAACTTCCAAGCCATTCACATGGAGATTATTCCAGATTTTCTCTATTTCACACTCATAGTCAGTCACGAAGTCCTGTCATTTCCTAATCATCTCTTGAACCTGTTCCCTTTTGCTACTTCCTCTGTTATTTCCCTATCTCCAGTATTTATCATCTTTTGCTGGACTAGCGCAATAACCCAATGCAGTCATAGATTTCATCAGTCCAACCTCCACATCACAGCCCAAGGTGTCTTTCAGAAACACAAACCTTATGGCGCCACTACCCTGGAACTATTGCTCATCATTTTCTTTGGGATTAACAAAGAAGCTTTACACTGGCATGGAGTATATTCTGGCACATTTCTACCTTGCTAGCTTTATCACTCACCCCTCCTACCTCGACACCACATTTTATCTAGCAAGTCAGCCTATGCTCTGGATAGCTCTGGTCTTACATCATACTCTACCACATCTCTGGGCACTTACTGCCCCTTCTCTTGACCATTTTTCTCATTTTCTCTTCTACTCAGCTCAGACAACACTTCTTTTCTGACATCTTTACTAGCTGTTTTTCCCACCTGAAAAATTAGGAATCTCTTCCATACTTCATGAAGCTCCCACAGATTTCTGTATTTGTCCTTTCATTCTGTATTTTAATAGTCCCTGTATTTATCCCTTTCAAAGGTATAGGCTCCTTAGGGAGGTACCACATACCAATCCTCTTTATAACTCAGAAACTTAAACAATGCCTGAGTTATGGTGGATTGCAAATATTTGTTGAATGATTAAAATATGTTCTGCATAGAAAAACATACTATCCACAATTTTTTTTTTTTTTCGAGATGGAGTCTCGCTCTTGTTGCCCAGGCTGGAGTGCAACGGCGTAGTCTCGACTCCCCACAACCTTGGCCTCCTGGGTTCAAGCAATTCTTCTGCCTCAGCCTCTCGAGTAGCTGGGATTACAGGCATGCGCCACCACGACTGGCTAATTTTTTGTATTTTTAGTAGAGATGGGGTTTCTCCATGTTGGTCAGGCTGGTCTTGAACTCCCGACCTCAGGTGATCTGCCCTCCTCGGCCTCCCAGAATTGGCCCACAGTTTTGTTTTGTTTTTTTTTTTAACTGTACTCTCACTCTGTCGCACAGACTGGAGTGCAGTGGCTCAATTTCTGCTCACCGCAACCTTCGCCTTCCGAGTTAAAGCAATTTTCCTGCCTCAGCCTCCCGATTAGCTGGGATCATAGGCACATGCCACCACACCGACCTAATTTTTGTATTGTTAGTAGAGATGTGGTTTCACCATGTCAGCCAGGCTGGTCTCGAACTCCTGACCTCAAGTGATTCACCCATCTCAGCCTCCCAAAGTGCTGGGATGTATAAAAACTGATTGATTCCCATTCAAGAGTGTGAATGCAGCTCATATATCTTTGACAGGCATGCCTGGATTTCCTGAGATGAGTGGCCTCTTAACATTCTGGTATTGCTCTTGCCCGCTACTACCATGGCTTTAGTAGCAAAAAAAACAGGCAAGGCTTTGGGAGGCACCCTGATGTTTAATCATCACCTGGGTTATACTCAATGCCTGACTACATAGATACCCCAAACTCCACTCTCACTGACTTTCACAAGAGATAATGAAGAGGATTTTTTTTAAAGGGGGTATGGTAGGTGGGGAACAAATTTATAAAAGGAGGTAGAGAGAGCTCTGTGGAGAGGTTCAAGATCAGAAAATAGGCAGCAGAAGTTCAGCTGTCTAGAGAAGAAGGGAAGCATCACACACCATGCCTCCTAGCTGCAAGGGGAGCTCAAAAAACATCTCACAAAACCCCTGTCACAAATCCAGAAATGTACCAGAAGGGAGACACTGCACCTCAACCTAGCTGGGCAAGAAATTCAGAGACAGACTGTGGCATATCTCACCCAAAAGTGGGTTATTTGTGACATTAAAGGAAATTGCCAAACAGGTAACCCAAGGCACGCTGAATGCCTGCAGGAAAGCAGCAGGAACAAGTTCATGCTGCAGCAGAGTCAGGTGCATGGGCACTCTGAACACCACGATGGTTGGCAGTCCAAAATCATGGCTGGCAAACTAAGGCCTGTGGGACAAATATAGCCCAAGGCCTATTGCTGAATAGCCTGGGAGTGAAAATGATTTTTGTCTTAAAAATATTATATGTATTTAAACGATGAGCATGGAATAGAGACCATATGACTGCAAAGCCACATTTGCTATCTGGCCTTTTACAGAAAATCTTTGCCAACCCCTGTACAGACTCTCTCTGTACAGCTAAGTCTTATATCATACCCAGATCCAGAATAGTTTACAGAAATGCACTCACTGGGATGAGATAGTTTTTTAAAATGTTGAAATTATTATGGCCAACTTGGAGTTCTCCATGTGAAAGATTAAAGAGTAGACTTTATTATCTTGCTTCTAAGGATACTCTTGCTCTGAAGCGAGTTTCTAGTGTGGAGAAAGCATAGGACAAGAAATCAGGAGATCTGGCTTCCAGTGACAACATCAAGATTGGTTGAGGATCTTAGGCAGCTCACTTAACATCACTGTATTCTAATTTCCTAATCTACCAAACAGGGATAATGTCTACCTTACTCTCCTCACATGGTGGTGGTGAGGATACCATGAGATGACAGATACAGTATGCTTTGCAAAGTTGAAAGGGAAATACAAATAGACGTATTATGAATAATGACATCATCAACCCTTAATTATGGCTACTTTGGGGGAAGATGAAAGACATGGATAAATTAAGTCATTAGTTATTAGTAGAACTTTCTACTTATTTTTTATCTCTTTCCTCATTAAATCTTTAATAACACAAGTGTCAGGATGGATTGAGTTTAAAGTTTTCATCCTTTAATTTGATAAGTGTATGTTTTGTTGATTGTGTATTTTGTGCTCAGTACCTATGGGAGGAGTGAAAATTAACAATGAATGGCTCCAATACAGTAATTAAACTTAGAGGAGGGAGGAAGTGAGAAGCCTAGAAAATTTAAAAGAAAAAACTAAACAAAACCCCAAAAAGCCCACTTTATTATCAATCTCACTATCAAAACCTATTTCTTTAAAGCTGGTTAAAATAGTTTCTATTTAGAATCGAAATCAAAGTTAACCTCCTTGGCAGCACCACAAACTCAGATATACTTACTCTTTTCTATATCAGAGGCAACACTGTTTTTCTCTGTTTCTTTCCCTTTCCTTTTTCTGAGCATACAGAAAGACTGCATTTCCCAGTGTTCCTTACAGTTAGGTAGGGACATGTGACTAAGCCTGGATAATGAGCTTAAACCTGAGGGACCTGAGTCACTTCCGGGCCAGAGGATAAAAGAAAGATGTAAGTTTTTTTCTCTCGCCCTGCTCTGCTTATCACAGAAGCTCCGTATCAAGATGACAGAGCTCAGCCTGGTACTGGTACAAAAACAGACTCATAGACCAATGGAACAGAATAGAGAACCCAGAAATAAGGTTACGCACCTACAAGTATCTGATCTTCAATGAGTCTGACAAAAACAGGTGATGGGGAAAATACTCCCTTTTCAATAAATGGTGCTGGGAGAACGGGCTAGCCACATGCAGAAGATTGAAACTGGACCCCTTCCTTACACCATATATAAACATTAACTCAAGATGGATTAAAGACAGTAAAATTCAAAATTATTAAAACCCTGGAAGACAATCTAGTCAATACTATTCAAGACATTTTCAAGGAGGCACATTTATCTAAACAAAAGATAAGAAAAGTGGAATGAAAGGACATATGTTTAAATATAATCAAAAGTTGCTATCAATAGAGAGGGAAAATAATGGGAAGGGGATGAAGGGAGAAAATAATAATAAATAATAAAATGATAAAATGAAATAAAACTGCTGAGTTTTTATGCCCTTACAAAATGCACGTCCTTCCTGGAACCTCAGAATGTGACATCATCGCCATACCTCAGTATCCAAGGGGGATTGGTTCCAGGACTCCCTTGGATACCAAAATCCATGGATGCTCAAGTCCCTTATCTAAAATAATGCATCATTTGCATATAACCTGCACACATCCTCCCACATACTTTAAATCAACTCTAGATTACTTATAATACAAAATACAATGTAAATGCTATGTAAGTAGTTGTTATACTACATTTTTACTTGTAGTATTTTTTATTATATTGTTATTTTTTGCTGATTTTGTTTTTTTCAAATACAGTATTTCAGCCTGCAGTTGGTTGAACTTGCAGATGCAGAACCCCCAGATATGGAGCCTGACTGTATTTGGACATAGTGTTATTACAGATGCAGTTAGTTAAGATGAGGCCATCCTGGAGTAGGGAGGGCCCTTAACCCAGTATGCCCAGTGTTCTTATAAGAAAAAGAGAGGGGATATAGAGACAGCCACACACAGGGAGGATGATAAAGATGCAGGGAGAACAACACGTGACAACATGGAATGGTCTTGTAGAGTGACCACTCCATTTGAGTCAAGCAATGAGTTAGGTACTATGGATCAAATAACAACACCCTATTCATTCCCTCAAAGAGTTTATAATATAGTGGTGGAAAAGGATAAACAGCTAGGCAGTTACATTGTAGTGTGATATATAAAAGCTCTAGTATAATAATCCTGGACAAGACAAGGCATGCCCAGGATTGCTAGCAACTGCCAGAAACTAGGAGAAGGCGGAGAAAAAACTTCACCTAGAGTCTTCAGAGAGAGTTTTGCCCTGCTGACACCTGACTATCCAGTTTCCAGCCTCTAGAATATATTCATTATATATATTTTCATTATTTAAGCCACTCAATTTGTGGTATTTGTTATGGCAGCCCTGGAAGACTCATCCTAAACCAAAAAGATCTTGTTTAAATTCATGGTCATGAGCTGATGAATATGTGCCTTAGTTCCTAGAATAAATGAAGAAAGGGTAATGGAATTCTTTTTTATTTTGAAAACGGGAGATGTCTTAGTTCAGGCTGCTCTAACAAAGTACCATTGACTAGGTGGCTTAAACCACAACCATTTATTTCTCACAGTTCTGGAGGCTGGGAGTTGAAGATAAGGATACCAGCTGGGTACGATCCATGCCCAGTTTTCCATGCAGACTGCTGACTTTCTTATATATCCTCGCACTGTGAAAAGAAGGTGAGCTAGCTCATTGGCCTTTCCTTATGAGGGCACTAATCCCATTCGGGAGGGCTCCATCCTCATGACCTAATTACCCTCCAAAAACCCCTCCTTCAAAAACCATCACACTGGGCATTAGATTTCAATATATGAATTTGGGGGGACTAACACAGTCAGTCCATAACAAGGGATGATCTTCACACCCATAGGAGAAGCCTTGTAAGACTTGTACTGTATAGCATTGTTCTTTGCAAATTACATTATGCAGGCTATGGCTTGATTTATGCTACCTCTGTGGTTGTGTTGGGGCAGCTGTCATAGAAGAGGACTCCTCCTGTATTTATGCTGAACTTGCTCAGAGTATGAGTAGAAAAAATATTTAGACAAGCTTGTGTCAATCATTTCTATAAGAGGTTCTTAGGTCCTTATCAATAACATATCAATAACATATAGCAAGAATGTATATTTTAAATTAGGATGTGGAACAAAAACACTGCAACTGGTCCCAAAACATCAGTTAACTGTTGGCACCTAAGGAAAGGTAAGTGAACATCTCAGATTATTCCCTTACATCTGATTTATTCCTAAAAAGAACGGGAACAAATGGCCCCAGGGCAGATGGTCTGAGCATCTTCTTTAAAGTGAGTATTAATTTGAATTAGGAAGCAGAGGGTGCCACTCCATGGCTGAGTTGCCTGTACCTGTTAATACCTGCAGCGGCCCTCTCTGACCTGCTTACAACCCCTCGCACAGCCTTTCAGATCCAAGGCCTTAACATTAGAAAGAACTTTAAGACACTCTCTAGAATAGCTGTTCTCAACTTAGATGCTCCTAAGACTCACCTGGGTGACGGCTAAACTGCTGATTCCCCAGGCTCATTTCCTACCCTCACCCCCAGAGATTCTCATTCAGGAGCTAAGTTGGGGCCCAAAATATTTGTAATTTTTAAATTAAAATCAGGTGATTCTCATGTAGGTTCTCTAACAATACTTCAAGAAAGAGTTATCCAGACTCTGCAACTCTACAGTACCTACAATTCATGCCCAGTGTCTTGTTAAAATGCAGGTTTTGATTCTCTGTAGGTCTAGGGTGGGACTTGAGTTCTAGCATGTCTAAGGGGTTACCAGGTGATGCGGACGCCCGTGGTCCACTCACAACACTTCAGGTGGGAAGCTTTTAAAATCCAGGTGCCCCCATGGCACTGCAGACCAGTTGATTCAGAAACCATGGGAGTGGCACCCAGCATCAGTATTAGTGTAAACTTCCACAAGTGACTCTAATCCATAGCTCAGCATGAGGCCTCCAGCGCCAGTGGCCACTTTCAGGTGGCGATGGTAACTTCTAACTCACGGACTCCCTCTAGGCACAGATAAGCAGTAACTAATATCTCAAAAGAAGAGATGACTGACTTCAAAGAAGTGAAATTTAAGGAAAATAAAGCCTGGGTATGACTATGATATTTTCAGTTTAACAAAATCATTGTTGCAATTGTTTACTTTTATCTGCCTCCAAGGACACTTAAATTACCCTTAAATGTATTATTTCCCACTAATTAAAAACTATTGTGGGTAGGCCTTATTATGTTTTTGTCATTGTGAATCAGAATTTATTCTGATATATTTTTCCTTTGAGTCTGGATTTACTCTTGGTTTCTACACTGCTGGGTAGTGGTTCAGTGACATAGCTGGACAGTCCTCTGTGTCCTGTAGGTTAATGATGATTAGAGTGTGAAGAACATTCACCTGGACACTCACACACGCAGCACAATTACCCTCCAATTTCCTTCAAATTTCTCCAACCGAGTGCTGCTGTATGGTCAGGAATGACCTCACATATTCTGAGTATTTGCTCTGTCCCAACCTGAAATCCAGGTTCCAAATCTTTTTGGAATCCTTTTACCAAATGCTTGATTAACAAGGAAATAATTTATGTTATTAAATTCTGATTTCTATAGCCCTCACCTGCTTTTGTGGCAGCTTCAAAGAAGGATTCTTCTGAGACATTTGCTTACAGGAACCAAACTTCTTCTATTCCTGATTATTAAAGGGGATAAAATATATGAACAGTACTTTGGAAACTGTATTGTGCTTGGTTCTCTTACTGTTGACAGTAGTAGTATTTAGGAGAAGTCTTCTGAGATAATCAGGAGTAGCATTTGGTCAGATAAACAAAACACTTAACTGAAACAAGGAATCATTTAAAAATGATGAAAACTATCAAAATTTTATACTTCAATGTAAAATAGTTGTAGGCAGAGCTGACATTTGGCCAGCATGCACTGACATGGCTATATAATTACTTAAATTTGAGCATCTTTTCTGATGGGGCAGACATTTGTTCTGCTTGGTCAATGTCAAAACCTTACCAGTTAATAGAGTATTTGGATATAATCCCACTATATTCATCAATCTCTTGACATAGGATCAAGGTCCTTTTTTTCAGAATGGATCTTCTGGTAGCAATTCTGAATCTTTCTTCTGTAAACCATAGCCATAATATATTATCCTTAATTTCCAGTGTCAGTTTTTTTATTGCTCAGTGAGAATTAAAAATAACTTACTATACATAATGAAGACTTCCACACGTTTATGATTCCCCCATTATATATATATCTAAATTTTTTTTTTTCTTTTGAGACAAAGTCTCGCTCTGTCACCCAGACTGGAGTACACTGGAGCCATCTCAGCTCACTGCAACCTCTGCCTCCTTGGTTCAAGTAATTCTTGGGCCTCAGCCTCCTGAGCAGCTGAGAGTACAGGCGCCCGCCACCACATCCGGCTAATTTTTTGTGTTTTTGGCAGAGACGGGGTTTCACCATGTTGGCCAGGCTGGTCTCGAACCCTGACCTCAGGTGATCCACCCACCTCAGCCTCCCAAAGTGCTAAGATTACAGGCATGAGCCACCGTGCCCATCCCCACTTAACCTTTTAGAGTATTTCACCTACACCTCATTTAATGGCAATTTTTAAATCTCACTGAAATGAGTCTTGATAAGCATTCAATCTAATTGTGATAGAATCAACAACAGCATACTCATATTTACATTCTATGGGCTTATGTAATATCTAATTGAATTATGTAATTATAAGAACTAGCACAACTGTCATGAAATATATGGAAACGAACACAACTGATCCTGATAAGCATAATTCAAGTGGTGGGAGCGGAAGTTTGCCGGCATTTATACTAGAATTTAACCTGCTAGCCCTAAGGGCTTAATCTACCTGGGACACTTTTTTATCAAGTAGAAATACATGAAAATGCCGGTTATTCTAGCATTTCTTGACCCACAAAACCAGCAATCTAATATGATTCAACCAGTATGTTTTACAGGGTGATGACAAGCTGGTCTGGTGAGTTAGTTCAGTGCAGGTCAGCTAAGGCTGCTCCTATTATAATATTCGAAGAACAGAGCTGTTTTTCAACATTGGGCTTCCTCTTTAAGTGTTTTGAACTGCACTTATTAATGGTGCTTATTCTTCTGCCAAGCGTTTCACAAAAAATTTTCCTGTAACCTCAAAAAAAAAGTCCCCTCAACCTCACCAAAAATGCTATGGTTGAATAAGTTTGGGAAACACTAGAAACCATAGCCATCTAGGAGATTCATAATGATCATTAGCATGTTAAAGGCTCTGAGAAGTCCTGTAGCAAAGGCCTTTGTTTAACTTTGTTTACCTTAGGGTTTCATAATTTATTTCACAAAAGTAGGCCGTTTCATGTAACATCTAATCCTGAAGAGCTAATGTTTAATGAAACAACCACACTTTGGTAAACACTACTCAACCAGCATTAAGGAAAGTATTATTCAGACTTTGTAGTAGATTAAACAAATATCATCTTAATATCTGTTAGAAACAGCATAATTTGTGCAGGTGTCCCAAAGCACTATACAAATTTCATTTAGTGGTAATGTTCCCCCCTTGTACAAATAGAAAAACAAAGGTATAAAGAGGCATTAGGTTGCTTGCCAGAATACACACAAGACTGAGACAAACTGGAACCAAGGCCCACATATCCTAACAACGATTTCTAATCTGTGTTTACAAACAGAACCAAATTGCAAATTGTAGCCACTGGCCACTTCTAACTATTGAAGAGCTAAGGTAAAAAGTATACTCCTTGAGCTAGAAATAGCGAATAAGATTGGGGAACTCTAGGAGAAGGTAACATTGACCTATCTATTTGATTGCTGGTGACTTTCATCAATTATTGAGAGCAGGGACTCTGTAAAATTTCCAACAGCTACAGGGATTCAGGGATCAACTGTCTTAGCTCAAAAGCTTCTTGCAAAAAAAACACGACATGAATATATGGCTCTCTGTTGGAGAGATTCCGACCTTGAGAGAATGAATCTCAGTCATTTATAAGGTTAAATAGATTTATGTGTTCTGAAGCTTGTTAGAGTAATGGGTGTTTCCCAGCATTTTAGAATTGCATGCTACGTGACATGCTAATAACTTTTAGAGCATGCCTGCCCATTCTCTCTGCCGGGGTGGGGGGTGTGGAGCGGTGATGTGAGACTTAAGAATCAGATTTATAGACATCTTTGCTCCATAAGTGTTATCTTTGAATACGCTCCCACACCGCAGGGCCTCATTGCCTGTGTCACAAACAGTATCTGTTATTTCAGAACACTGCAATGCTTACCTCAAGGCCAAGCGAGAGTTGTCAAATAAAGATGAAGAGCCTTTTGGCCAAAAAAAAAAAAAAAAAAAAAGTGCTCTTAAAATGTTTACCTTCTCATACCTAATGGTTTTAGATCATATCTTATTAGCCTAGGAGACCATTACATAAAGTACAATTAAGATCTCCTTGACATTTTCTAGGAGTTCCAATTCAGCTTTGCTAATAGCTATAACTTCATTACTTTCTTTTTTTAAAAAATTAATGCCACACATTGTTGGAAATACAGTTTACAATAATGTGGACTACCCAGGGTGCACTTGCAATAATTACACAGAATGTCAACAGCCTCTCAAGCTGGGTCCTGCGTTGATTGCTTTTGTGACATTCTCATTTGGGTAACTTGCTGGAATTACTCTTCTACCTGCAGACTCCTTCTTCTCCAAGGCTGTGCAGAAAGTGTTCTCAAAACTTTTGGTTTGATCCCTTCTATTGAGTTTTATAGTACCCAGATTATAGGAAGAAATTTGAGCTAGGCATAAGAATAGAATAATTGTTCCCATAGCTAGTATCCCACCCAGTCAGCAAGTTTTATTTTTTGTTTTGGTTTGTTTTTTTTTTGAGACAGAGGCTCACTCCATCACCCAGGCTGGAGTGCAGCTTCGTGATCCTGGTTTACTGCAACCTCCGCCTTCCCAGTTCAAACTATTCTCATGCCTCAGTCTCCCAAGTAGCTGGAATTACAGGCACATGCCACCATGACTGGCTAATTTGTTGTATTTTTAGTAGAGATGGGGTTTCACCATGTTGACCAGGCTGGTCTCGAACTCCTGACCTCAAGTGATCCATCTGCCTTGGCCTCCCAAAGTGCTGGGATTACAGGCGGCAACTTTTGTTCAAGAAACATCCATTGAGCGTCTGCTATATGCAGACCTGTTCCAGGCACTAAAGACACCAAGCCGAATAAGGCTCTCTCTTGCTGTCGTTTGCATGTGTTGAAGTAGGAGGGTTCAGAAACATCTTTCCACACGTGGAAGGATTTCTGCATAGAAAAGACGTCCCATAAGAGTTAAAACTTGAACCATAAAGTTCTATGCCACACCCTTTTTCCTTCACATCTTTTCATCTGTGGCCTCATGCTATCCAGACCTCCCATTGTCAATAGGCTCAATGTGGTTCACTATTTGGCAAATAAGCAATAGCTAATATTTATGGAGTTTCCTCTCTCTACCAGCTCTGTTATAGCATTTTATATGCCAATTCATTTGATGCTCATGATAAATCTATATGGCAGATATTATTATTATCTCCATTTTTAGATGTGAGGAAACTGAGGCACAGAGAGATTAAATGTCACGCACCTAATGAGTAGAGAATCTGAAGTCTGAACCTTGATTATTTGCAGTCAAAGACCCTGCCACTGCTCTGCCATTAGGAGAGAAATCCCGACAAGGAATCGTGATGGTAAATTAAACAACATAGTCCCCAGAATGCGATTAATGCATGTCATAAAACCAGGATAGCTGAAAATAAACAGGGCCTGGACAGAAATAGAATAAAGACTTTTCTCTAAGCTACGCCTGCTTGAGTACTTACGGCACCAGTTCCTCTGAATTGAGGAATAGGGGCTAAAACAAGAACAGCCCTGTTTGTGATCTGCAAATTGTTTTAAACATACTAACGCTTAGGTTAGCTGCTTAGTGTAGCTATGTTGATACCATAGGAATGGGGCATTCAGTTGAACTAACTGATTTTGTTCTATTTATAAAGTCCTGAAATAAAGGGATGTTTTTCCAGTATTATGAAGGTAGAAGCCTGAGCAGGTAAGGTGTGCCCCACCTAACATCTGCTGCCAGGGCTCTGCTGTGTGAAGTGGGCAGATGAGGAAAGTCACACGTCTTACAGAATCCAATTAAATGAGACTCCTCCATTTTATATGTATGACATATTATTTTGATAATAAATTAAAAGCAGGAAGCCAAAAGAGGGTTCAAATTACATTATGCTCCCAGCATACTAAGGGAGGATCCACCTTTGGGAATGCCTCAAGCAGTTATTTCTGAGACACTCATTATATTTCCGGCAATTTGGAATCTGGAAAGAAGGAGTCAATAAGCAAACAGGTTAACTGCTAGACCTAGGTTAGCACTAGATCTCAAAAAGTGCTAAACCAGACATGGGGAAGTGTTATACCATTGATCACAGAGATGCCCTTCCTGTTACTCAAGAAGCACAGTCATTCTCAAAGCCAGGATTGCTGGGGTGAGGTTTTTCTCTTTACAGTATCGATCATATTTTTCACTTGCTTGACTGGTTAAAGAACAGGCTTGGTCCTGTCACTAGATGTCTTCAGGGTTAAATGGAAAAGAATTGTAAAACGGTTGTGCTTATTTGAACGGGTTTCTATTTCATTTGTATTGTCTGTGAATAAAATTTATCGTATGACATTTATGTTCCTTTCAAGCTACTTAATTATCTTTTTTTTTTTTTTTCTGACTGCAAGTCCATTTGAGACTGGCTGAAATAAGCTCTGACTTTTATTTCTGATTTTCTTGACCACTGAATTAGTTTTGGTCCTGCTTTCAATATTGTCATGCTGCAAGTTATTGGTTATAAAACTTTTGCATATTGCTATAATTGTGTTGACTAAACAGCTTAGGAATGCTCTATTAATATATTTGAAAGAGTATGGTATACAGAGAGCAGATGAAATACATTTGAGATGTTTATTTTTTGCCATATATTTATATAAGAGGCTTTTTTCTATGTTTCATTATACTACCTATAGCTGGCTCTACAATCTTAAAGCTATGCTGAACACTGAGCTTATAAAGTTTTAGTGCAACCTCCTAAACTTTCTGTAAATTAATAGTATGTGGATATATTTGTGGTATTAAAAAGAATGAAAATGTGGGGTCTTATGGATGAAAAAAAATACTGTCCTCAAGTATTCATTCAGATGAGAGGGATTAACTCAGACTAAGTTGTTACCTTTTACCCTTGAGTAAACTATAGAGTATGAAGGACAAATAAACAGACAAAATAATGATAAGAAAATATGTCACAGCATAAATAAGATGTGCTATAATAGTGTTCATGGTAAGAGTATGACAAAAAATAGGTACAAGTTTCTCAAAAGAAACAGATTGTATGTCAAAAGTTAGACATTTGTTGTTTGTCAAAACTTGTTGACCTGTACAATTAAGAGCTGTGCATTTTACTATATGCCAAGTATTTTTCAAAAAATGTATGCATGATTTAGAAACTTGTGAAATGGTGGCTAGAAGCACATTGGTGAGCATTTTAGTGACACTTTAAAATTTTTATTTATTTAAAGTAATATCTAGTAAAATGGACTATTGGATGCACAGTTGTTTGACTCTTAACACATGGTCAGATGTATCACTCCCCTAAAACTTCCTCATGCTATCCATCCCTTGTCACACTTCCCCCATACCTTTAATCCTTGTAAATCATAAATCTCTTCTCTGTTTACATAGTTTTGTCTTTTGGAAAATATTATATAAATGAAATCACACCATACGTAACCTTTTGAGACTCATTTCTTTCACCCAGCATAAGATTAAGGCATGCTTCTCTGTGTTTCTATAATTTATTCCTTTTCTAAACTTTTAAGTTCAGGGGTACAAGTGTACTTTTGTTACATGGGTAAACTTGTGTCATGGGGGTTTGTTGTATAGATTATTTCATCACCCAGGTATTGAGTCTAGTACCTATTAGTAGTTTTTCTTCCTCTCCCTTTCCCCACCCTCTACCCATCAAAAGGCCCCCCCACCCCCGGTGTGTTTTATTCCCCTCTATGTGCCCATGTGTTCTCATTGTTCAGCTCCCACTTATAAGTAAGAGCATGCAATATTTGGTTTTCTCTTCCTGTGTTAGTTTGCTAAGGATAATGGCCTCCGGCTCCATCTATGTCCCTGCAAAGGACACGATCTCATTCTTTTTTATGGCTGCATAGTGTTCCATGGTGTATATGTACCACATTTTCTGTATCCAGTCTATCAGTGATGGGCATTTAGGTTGATTCCATGCCTCTGCTGTTGTGAATAGTGCATGTTCCTTTATATTGCCATGTAGTAGACCATTGTATAGATGTACAATTCATTTATCTATTCAGTCATTTAAGGACATTTCAATTTTTTATAGTTTGGGGCAAGTGTGAATAGAGAAACTACTCTCATTAGTTTACAGATATTTGTGTGACCATGAGATCTTTATTTCTTTAGGTTAAATACCTGGGAGTGAGATTGCTGTGTCATATGTAAGTGCATGTTTAACTTTATAAGAAACTTCAAACTGTTTTCCAGAGTGGCTGTGCCATTTTGCATTCCCACTAGTTCAGTTGCTCTTTATCCTTGCCAGCATTTGATATTATCAGGGTTTTAAAAAAGTTATTTTAGTCATTCTAATAGATATGTAGAGGTAGCTCATGATGCTTCAATTAGTGTTTCTCTAATGATAATGATGTTGAACATTATAAAGAATTCTGAAGGTTAGCATTCTCACATGGTAACAAGTTAGCCTAGCACAGTTTCATAAATGCTGACAAAAGACATGAGACTCCTGGGTCAGAGATGAAGGAAGGTGATTATGCACAATAGTACCAGTAGCTAGAATCACCGCATTTGTCTCGGTTCTCTAAGCCTCATTTCTACAGGGTGCCATGAAGAGGGCCAGGTGACACCTGTGTATGCAGTTGATTGAATTATAAAAGAGGAACACTGAACTTAGAGAACTCAAATATTTATAATGAGCAATAAGCCTGCTTACCGCTATTCTGAAGGGGGACACCATATCTGTCTTCCAAGGCTGTTTGCTACACAAACATCCTGAGAAAATTGAAACAAAGGCTACCAGTGCCTCTGGTTCAATGCTGGGGGATAGCAGAGAACAAGATTTTTTTTTTATTTTTTTTTATTTTTTGAGACAGTCTCGCTCTGTCACCCAGGCTGGAGTTCATGGTGCCATCTCAGCTCACTGCAAGCTCTGCCTCCCGGGTTCACACCATTCTCCTGCCTCAGCCTCCCGAGTAGCTGGGGCTACAGGCACCCGCCACCACGCCTGGCTAATTTTTTTGTATTTTTAGTAGGGACAGGGTTTCACTGCATTAGCCAGGATGGTCTCGATCTCCTGACCTCGTGATCCGCCCGCCTTGGCCTCCCAAAGTGCTGGGATTACAGGCATGAGCCACTGCGCCTGGCCAAGATTCTTGTTCTCATGGGAAAAGATTATAATATAAAAGAAGAACTGGGGAGGAGAGGTCCTGGAGACAGTTTGCCAATAGGATGTTGTTAAAACAACCAAGTGTGAAGTGATGCAGAGTGGCCAGGGTTAGGGCAGTCAAGACGGCAAAGACCAGATGTGTGTGACATGGAGGCATTGAAACAGAGAAACAGGATTCACGACATTAACTAAAGAGGAGAGAAAAGAAAGCACCATTCCCAAGCTGCAAGTTTGTTTTAAATACAGTTTTATTTATAAAGTTATTTTAAATTTTATTTTTTAATTAAGTTTTTTTCATTTGATTTTTTTTTTTTTTTTTTGAGACTGAGTTTTACTTTTGTCACCCAGGCTGGAGTGGAGTGGCGTGATCTCTGCTCACTGCAAACTCTGCCTCCCAAGTTCAAGTGATTCTCGTGCCTCAGCCTCCCTAGCAGCTAGGATTACAGCATGAGCCACTATATCCAACTAATTTTTGTATTTTAGTAGAGATGGGGTTTCACCATGTTAGCCAGGATTGTCTCGAACTCCTGACTTTAGGTGATCCACTTGCCTGGGTCTTCCAAATTGCTGGGATTATAGGTGTGAGCCACCACACCTGGCCTAAATTTTTATTTTTAAATAAAATAATTTTTACAAAATAAAGGTTTTTCAGTCATGCTATGCATTCCAAATTGGTACTAAATAAAGTCATAAAAATTTGATATTAGCTGTGTATTCAAACCAAAGGTATTTTGCAGTTCTATCTCAAATGTTAAACTGTTCAATCTGTGACTTTGAAGAAATCACTTCTTTTTTTCAGTTGTATTTCCACATGCAAAATTGAGGCAAAAATGTGTGTTTCTATTCCTTTCACAGGACGACTGTAGTTCATTCAGGTAAGGGCAGCAAACTTTTAGTGCTAAGTGAAAGTTTCTCTTTTGGCATTATGAGAATCTTTAAAATGAGAAGTATTTTCTTTTTGTAAAAATGTAAATGTTTCCAGCTGGAATTAATTCTCAAAAGTACAGCACATGGTGCTGGGGCATTGGCTCCAAAAATCTGGTGGAAAAAGGAGTGAGTTTATGAAGGATGGGAAGAAACCTTCTTCTCTTTAAAAACAGTGGTAATGACAATGCTTTTTCCCTTGAAAAATGAAAACATTGTTTTACATGATTCTCAAAGCAATATTCTGCTTAGCTACGGGTTTTTGTTCATCTCATTTTAGGAAATTGAGTCTCAAAAGGCTAAGGGCTGCCCGAGGTTACACAGACTGGCAACCTACGGAGCTAGATTTTTAACTAAGTTTTCCTTTCAAAAGGCTTTCTTTTATTTTCATTTTTATTTATTTATTATTTTTTTGAGACGGAGTCTCATTCTATCACCCAGGCTGGAGTGCAATGGCGCGATCTCGGCTCACTGCAGCCTCTGCAGCCCGAGTTCAAGCGATTCTCCTGCCTCAGCCTCCCGAGTAGCTGGGACTACAGGCACACGCCGCCACGCCTGGCTAATTTTTTTGTATTTTAGTAGAGACGGGGTTTCACTGTGTTGCCCAGACCAGTCGTGAACTCCTGAACTCAGGCAATCCGCCCTCCTTGGCCTCCCAAAGTGCTGGGATTACAGGCATGAGCCACTGCGCCTGGTCCAAAAGCCTTTCTAGGCCACCATAAATGCCTCCCTTCACGCAAAAGGGGCCACGTTGTCCCTTGTAGAGCTTAAAGGAGAGCCGAGGTGTCTGCCTCCTGAAGTGTACACGTTACTGTTCCGTCGTATTTTGTAGTCTCTGTTCTGCCCTTTGGAACATCTCTTCGGTGTTCCTGTGGGATCTCTCTACTGCATTCTACTTTATGTAATAATCTGTTCAATAAATAATTTTTAAAAGGAGACAACAACGCCGCAGGTGATCTGGAGGCTCCTGGAGGACCTCAGCGACTCAGGTCCAGTCCAAGGAGGGCCGCAGATCAGGCTGAAGAAGGATGGATCCACATGCTTAGAGGAGATCGAGAAATGCAGGTTCGTTTGGGCCCATCTTACCCTTCTGTTCCAACGAGTTTAAAGAACCAGGATCCCCGAGAAATCTTGTCAGCTTGGCTAACCTCTATTTGAGAATAATTTTCCAGGGGAGGGATCATCACACTGCTTCTTTGCATAGAATGTCACGCTAGAAAACAATTCTTCTCATGACTGCAAGTCTGTTTAAATTCTTACTTTGGGCCAGGTACTTTGCATTGTTTGTTACCTTATTTCACCCTCCCAAACACTCAGCAAGACAGATATTATTTTTCTCCTTCTGTAGAGGAGAAAATGGAGACTCAGAGAGGTAAAGCATTCTTGCCAAGCTGCTAAGTGTTCTTGCTAAAATATGAGCATGGATCCACCTGGTTCCAGAGCCTACATTCCTTCCGCCATACCATATTGTCTCACTTCAGCTGTTACAGGATGGGCCTTCCAGGTTAGCAGCGTCAAGATAAAGGATAATTCTCTCTTTTGCTCATGACATTTCCAGCATGAGCTTCCTGGCTTCCCTGTTCTTAAGTACCCAACTTATTCTCCTGGGCTCTAGAAGAACCTGATCCTGAAAGGCATGAACATCTTAGACAAGTCTCAGCAAGCCGGCACCCCAGGATGCTCTGCGGGTGAACAACCCTGCTCACTGGACAGGAATAGGACCCTGGGACTGTGCTAAAATGGAATCCGATTTTCACTGGTGGATGCTTGGGGTTTCAAAGGCTTGTCCAAACTCTGGTGAAATGCCTTTTCTAGAGTTCATTGTAGCAATAAGTACAGAAAATTCTGAATCCCCACAGTGGTTTCCCCTGTGCTCAGTCAGTTGTTCCTCTATTTTGCTACCTGATAACCATTATTTCCTTCTTTCATGCTTTGGGTCCCTGCAGAAACAGCCATTGACCACATCAGTTACATTGCCAATGCCTCCAGAAGACTCCCTCACCGCTGCCTGCTGATTATGCCCACACCGCAGCTGCTGCTGCCCAAAATGACTGTCCCAAAGCTACTAATGTACAGGGCACTAATTTGTCTGGAAGGCTGGCTCCATGTTGCAGAGCTCCCAGCAAAGTCTTTCACCCTTGCCAATGCTGCTAGAACAGAGCTGCCACTTTGCACTCTTAATATCCAGGCAAATTTTAGTGAATTTCCCCCACTTTCTTTCTTTTTTTTCTTCTGTTATTTACATTCCCACACCATGCCTTTTGGGCAAGGACTTCTTAGGAGCTAAGCCAAATATCCAAGTGGCAGACATGGTGTGGTTCTCACAATCCCTTCTCCCTCTCCAACCCTGGACCTGTGTCCTCAAGTCATACTCTGGCACTTAGGATGAGTCTTTTCATAGGATTCCCCTTGATCCTTCACTCAACCTTAAAGGACTCACCTCTGTTATCCTGCAGACATGTCCAGATCAGCTGATTCCTAAGTGCACACAACATCTCTGGATATATACATATATACGTATATCCTCACAAAGTTAATTACATTTCATATTTCTGTTAGACAGTCAATAACATTCTCAATAGGCTTGTTTCCAATATCTTTGAATAATAATAGTTAATATGTATTTATCTCCTCCTATATACCAGGCACCGTATTGTTTTACGACATCATCTCATTCAATACTGTCAATATTCCCAGGTGGGAGGTGCTTCTGTTGTCTTCATTTTACAGATGAAGAAACAGATGCCTCAAGACACTAAATACCTACCCAAGATCACACACCGAGCATTATAGAGCTGTTTCTAACTCCAGCTGTCTGTCTCCAAAGCCTATAGGGTGCAGCACGTTCCTCTTTCATGACACTGGAAAGATGCCTATTATTATGGCTATGCATCAAGTCTGCAAGAGGATCTTCTAGATTGTTTAATTTTTTTTAATATTGCTTTTAAATGGGCATCATTGTGTCTACGTTTTTTCTAGGTTCAGCTTAGTCTAACTTGACTTACGTTCTTTTTCTGAACAACATTTTGTTAAAGAAAATATTTCATAAGGCAACTCACACAGTAACATTCTAAAAGATGTGGTCTTTCCAGGCTTTTCTATCCAACTTGCCCCCATTTTGATTAAATATGCTGGAAAAACTTCTTTGGATTAAAATTGCCCTTTTAAAAATCACAGACAAATCTGGGCAAATAGTAAAGCATTATTTCTCTTTCGATTACAGTAGAAACCCCGAGACAACTAGAACTGATTTGCTCAGGAGCCCTGTGGGGGACATTCATTTTGGGATTCAAAGGGGACTGCTGCCCCTCTTTAACCTGAGCAGGGAACAGGAAGTGCCGCCGCAGCTCCACTGCCCAGTTCTGCAAATCTTCTGGCTTGTTGTTTGGCGCTGGGTGTGTGTTAATCATTCACCTCAAGGATTTCTTAAAGAGTATTTATTCCCAAAATAGAGATGTGGAAGTCAGCCTATACCACTGGGCAATAATTCCATCTCCTGTAACTTTCCCATAGGAGTAAATCTAATCAATGTCACTGTTGTTGAAATTATAAAAGTGAACCAACTACAGAGTGGAATTTCCCCCCAACCGCTCCCTCCCTCTTGTTTTCGTGTACTTTGTAACCTGAGGAGAAGTTTCCATGAGGAAGCAGAGTTTATGTTGAAGTTACTGAGTGATGTATGGGAGATCTCAAACACAGAAACTGCCTTTAGACGTTAAAAAAGAATAAAACTCTGTTGTGCCCACGATGGACTTGTGCAAGTAGAATGCTCAATGTTTTCCTTTGCAGAAACATTGATCCCCTTACAGGAGGATCTTACAAGATACCCACTGTGCTCCATTCTCATGTCCCCATGGTCGTAGAGCTGCCTAAATAACATTGCCCAGGAGAGATTTTTATCCCTTGGCAATGATGCTCATTCATGATTGTGTGGGCAGCACACTTAGCTTTACTTGGGAAAAGATTTCCTAATGTAGTGTTGCCTGGCTAAATATAAGCTGTCTTTGCACACATGAAACTAAGTGGAGACTTGACTTAATGATCTCGTAACTCTGGTTAGTGCTTCAATTTAGAAAGAAAAGTGAGTGGGCTTTTCTTTAGTTTTGCAACAGTAATTTCTTAAAAGCCAAGAAACTTCACATTTGTAGTTATGCCTAGGATGAAAGTTGTTGAAGCTTCTATTCTTGATTCCACCTTTGTTCATGATTGCTTATTTTTAATCTTTTCCATCTAAACTGTATTCTGAAAATTAGTATAATCATGTGAACATTTCTGAACCACAACATTTAATAGAATTGAATCAAGAACAAAAAAGTTTCACCTAGCAGTTTTTTGACACTTGACAGATGATGTTTACATTTATTTACTGTCTGACAAAATTATCTGAAACCTAACTCAAGGTTTAATTTTCATTGGGGGCTTCACAATGAAAGGGTTGACAGCAGTGTCCTCATTCAATCCTCAGGCTCAGCCCTTTCCTCTCAGTGGACCTCAGTGGCACTGAATCAGGTTAATCAGAATCCTTGAGGCAGAACATAGCGCCTCTTTGGTCATTCATTCATTTATGTAGGTATCGTTTTTTATTTTTATTTTTTTTGAGACAGAGTTTCGCTCTTGTTGCCCAGGCTGAAGTTCAGTGGCGGATCTTGGCTCACTGCAACCTCCGCCTCCCAGGATCAAGCGATTCTCCTGCCTCAGCCTCCCAAGTAACTGGGATTACAGGCATGTGCCACCACCCCAGGCTAATTTTGTATTTTTAGTAGAGACGGAGTGTCTCCATGTTGATCAGGCTGGTCTCGAACTCCTGACCTCAGGTGATCCACCCACCTCAGCCTTCCAAAGTGCTGGGATTACAGACATGAGCTACTGCACCTGGCCATAGGTATCTACTTTTCAAAATTCAGTAAGCACCTGTAAATTCACCATCCAACCTGAAGGCTAGGACTTTGACAATTTCCATCTAGCTACATGGCTGTTCCCCTTCTAATCTTTCTGTTTCCCCATCCAAAGCAGCCACTATCCTGATTCACAGGTCTCTGGTTCCCTTACTTCCTTCGAATATAGTTAGCTCATCTATATGTATTCCTCAAAGTAAATATTTTTAGTTTAGATGCTTTTACTTAGGAACACCTATTATTTTACCAAAAGAGTACCCATAATAAAAAGGGCCTGTGCTATATGTAATATTCTGAGTCTTTTCTTCCTCCATTTAATAAAACTTTTAAAGATTAATCTTTTTTAAAAAAAGATTTAATTTTGAGGGTCTTGCTTTGGGTACTGGCTCTGAAACTTGCAGGGTGCATTGAATTCCACTTAATCTTTACCTTTGGAGCCGAACTGGTTACAAATTGAGAAGAAATTTTGATCATAAACACAGTCTACTTCTCTAGAGATCCCCGCATCCATTACACCTGGGACATTTTCTTTCTCTTATGTACAAGGTAGATTTGCGTAAAGGGGATTGGGGGCCTGCTAAGGTGGGATACTGAGTCCCTTGTTTGTCTTGAGTAGGCATCATATGCTGGGTTCAGTCTCTGACACAGGAAAATAAAGATAGCCTGAACAAATAGGTAAAGGCTAAAATCATCTAGAGCAATAATGACTAATTTGTTTAATTTGTTAGATTTTGCCTACTGGCATTTTTATTCTCAGGTGAATGGTTGTGTTATTAAGCGGTGGCTGTTGTTCCCTTTGGGAGCTATTAATTTTGTGGCAATGCTAGAAATACTACTAGCTAACAGTTACAGGTGCTCCAATGTTTCTGGCCTGGTGCTATGTGCTGTATGTGTAATCGCTCATTGCATCCTTCCCACAACCATACAAAGCTGAAGTAAGTGCTATGGTTACCCTCATTTACAGATGAGGAGTTTGAGTCACAGAGAGGCACTGAAAGTTTTGAACGCATGCTGAATTTGGTCAATGGAGAGGGTGGAACAGAAGAAAACGGAAACTAACATGTATTCAGGTCCTAGAACATGCTTGGCACATTATATAGTGTTTAAACCAAAAGAATACCTAGAGGAAGGAACTCTAACTCTAGACAGGACCAATAGGGTCCTGAGAAATCAAATTATGTGCTAAATATACTGAGCTAAAAAATGAAAGTAACAGAGAGAAATCCAGGATTCCTCAGAATCCGTCCATCTGAGATCAATAAGGGACCCAATTAACAGCCCCCCAGTACCCTGTGTGCAATTTCACCTTAACCATAAAGAGAAGAATGAAGTATCTGGTGTAATGGATTTCATCTTTATCCAAAATTGCTCATTTTTTATCTTTTCCATTTCCATTGTATTATGAAAATTAGTATAATCATGTGAACATTTCTGAACCACATCATTCAATAGAATTGAATCAAGAAAAATATTTCACCTAGCAGTTTTTGACATTTGACAGACGATGTTTACATTTATTAACTTTCTGAGAGAATTAACTGAAATAAATAAATCTAACTTAAGATGCAATTTTGAGGGTCTTGCTTTGGGTTTGCGGGGGTGGGCGTCCAGGAGTTGTTCTTGATTTTTACAGCAGACAATGCCTACAATTGTAAATTTCTCTTCTGTTTGAACCAAATTGTCTATAAAGTTTAACTAAGATTCATATTAGTTTCCTAGGCTGCTGTAATAAAGTACCGCAAGCTAGATGGCTTGAACGACAGAAGTTTACAATCTCACAATTCTGGAGTCTGGAAGTCCAAAATCAAGGTGTCAAGAGTTAGTTTCCCTGTGAGGGAAAGATCTCTTAAAGGCCTTTCCCCTTGGCTTGTAGATGGCCATCTTCTCCTTATTGTTTCTCCCGATGCATGTCTATTTCTGTGTCCAAGTTCCCCCTTTTTATAAGAACACCAGTTATATTGGACCAGAGCTCATCCTAATGGCCTCATTTTAACTTGATTCCATCTATAAAAACCCTATCTGTAAATAAAGTCACATTTCCAGGTACTGGGTGTTAAGACTCCAACATGTGTTTTGGGGGGCAGGGTCACAATTCAACCCATAACAGAATTTAATCTCAGACTCTTCAGAAATGAGATGTCGTGGGGCCCGTAGTGGGGCCATAAAGTATTTTCCTTGGCATTTAGTCTTGATCATCATGCTTGGTTGAGAACCAACCTTGGGTTGATGAATGAAAACAAGAAAAATCAGCACAGAATGAGGCTGACTCTAGATAGTGTAGCTTGTAATACTGACTGTTTCTTCTAGCTGAGAGGTACGCTGTATCTCTCCTACACGTGAGACCCCAGGAAGGAAAAGGACAGCTTGCCAGGTGTCCCCCTCCCGAGTTTCTAGCCCCATTGACTGTGGGCGACATCCCTGCACACTCTGGAGCAGTGCTGAAGTGAGTTTGTATTGTAATCGAAGGAGTTCTGCTGGTCTGCTGCTTAAGTAGGAAGGTTTGAATTGGTTTCTCTCCTTCTATTCCTCAGATCCCACACTGTAACTACTAGTTTCCAAACTGCTTATGTTTATCTTTTGAACAGGATATGCTGCACTTCCTCTTTTCTTAGAATGTTTTGCCTTCACATTTTACCTAGTTGGCATGTAAGAGAAAAGTAATTTTTAAATATTGTTTCTAATTTCTAAACAACTGCAAAAAAATTACAATGAATATTTTTACATATGTCTAGTGCATACATGTGAAAATTTAGAAGTGTGAGGTGTGTGCACGTGTGGGATCATTGGGTGGGAGATTATGTGCATATTCAGTAATACATGTGTCAAAAAGCTCTTCAAAGTGCTTGTGCCAATTTAAACTTCCCAAAGAACTATCTGAGAGTACCACTGTTCTACATCTTCAATAATACTTAATAATTTTTAAATGTTACCAAATGTTAAATTTTTAAATTCACATGAGTATTAATTATGTATCTTAATATGTATTTCCTTAAGTATTCATAAAGTTGAGAACGTTTTCATGCTATTAGCCAGTGGTTTTCTTCTTTTGTAAAGTGTTTATTCATACCCTTCACTCATATACACATGGTATTGTTTGCTTTTTGGTGTTATTCTATAGATGTTATTTGTAAGTTCTGAATACTAATTCTATAGCTATTAAATATCTAACATATATATTTTTACAGTGTAGTTTGTACACTCTGTTGTGATTTCTATTATATTGTGTTAATAAAACAAAATAGAGAAAAATAATTTTGATATTCATCTGATCTGCTGATGTGGGACATGAGGACAGAGGCAGACTCTAGGAGACACCTTTAGTACAGAGATATTCAGGTGCAGATTTATCTGAAATTATTTTCAGTGTTCAAGGACATGTGTTTTGTGTAATAAGATTCTGAAAGCTCACAAGGAAAAAGATAAGTAAGAAAGATCTTTGACGCCAAGGTGGTGGTAAATGTTGCATTGTTATCTCAGCTGATAACACTCTTGATGCTTATTATGGGATGTAGGCTATAATGGCAACGGAGTGAGTGAGCAACTGAGTAAATCAGAAAATGCTAAAATGATTTGGAGATTATTTTTTGCACACATACGTATGCCCACCTGTGCTTTTAGCAAGGAGAGAGGAGGAGACCAGGACAGTGACAGTGATAACAGAAACCCTTTAGACGTATTTCCAGGAGATTCATGGCCTGCTGTTAGAATGCACAAAGGTATAATTAAGTCAAAAAAATCTGCTGAGAATCTGCAACCCGGGAGGATCTCTGTTTATTTTTCCTCCAGGACCCAAGGAGCCATAGTTTTTTGTTTGTAAAACCACAGGATTCAATTGATCAGGTGTTAGTGTCCCTATTACTCTCATTCTTCCATCTTCCAACCATCCATGGCTGTCAGTCGTTACCCGAAGATACAACCCAGTAAATCCCGATTGGCCAAGAACCAGCCCATGCTTCTTTTTTCTCTCCAGACCTTTCCACTTTTATTAAGGCGGCTCATTTTAGAGTCTAGCTTTTCAGAATTGTCTTAGAGAAGGCAATGTGCAGGTTTTAGTCTTCCAGTTGTTTGTTTTAATGCAGTTAGCTAAAATAAGTACTTCTTTTTCATATAAAATACATATCAACACATAGTCTCCTGTTCAAAAAATGGTTTCTGTATCTATATAGGTATAGTTATAATTATTATTGCTTTCTAATAATAATGTAACCATCTTATAAAATATTTGAAAACACTCTGTAGAGTGTGAACTGATTCAGAAAGAGGCATATTGTTCTACTTTCTTTATCAACAAGGTAAAAATGTTTTGCTATTTACCCAATTTTCCAGCTTTTGATAGCTTTTTCTATCTTCCTATCTATCGAATTTCCCCAGAATCTCTGATAAGGCATAAGAGTATATAAAAGAGCCATGAGGTATAGAAAAAAATGCAGCGATGAGAAATAGTGATGTGTAACTAGCAGTATGCTAAATCGTGAGGATTTTTGTGATGTATTTCTGTAACTGTAATATGTTTATCCATCTTGTTTCCTTACACACATTCTAAGGAAGTTAAGAACTGTAATTTATTATGCATTAAGAAAATTGCCCATTATGGGTACAAAAAGAATGTACATGCATTTTCTTGTGTACGTTTTTATCTAACCAATAGAAAAGAACCTAATTTTGAAGCGGATTATATAATTTACAAATAAACTGTATATTAGATTTCCCTAAGGGGTACTTTTGAAAACAAACTCTGCTCCACTACAGATCCAGACACATAGCCCTGAAGAGGTATTAAAAAAAATTCAGTCTTAGCATAAGTTGTGATGAGCTGTAAATATTGAACAAAAGTAAAATTTCCAAATATACCAAATGTAGGAAAAGCATCACTAAATTCACAGAAGGAAAATATGTAAGGAGTTAGGAAAAGAATTAATATGCTCTTTTGAATGTCTTTGAATCAGGGATTGAAGTGGATTATGAATAATCCAGAATATTTACCTAGTAAAGGCAAAAAAAAGTTTTAGACCCACAGATTTCCTTGTATTTGGGATCAAATAATGCCCTACTGATTATACAATGATACCCAGTGCATCTCGTTGCTCAAAGGATCAACACAAGGTTCAAAGAAGTCATATCAAGTGTATGTTTTTAGAAATTGTGAAATCTAATAAAGCCTGAATTCATTACATAACAGCCTGAATTAGTTACATAATAAAAGTGAGAACAAATTTATAAAACAATTTATGTTTGTTTATATTCTGGATGTAATTCACACTTATATATTCACAACCAATACAGTGATAGGATCTTAAGGTTGTAGATGCATACTGTGAAGCCAGTCTCCCCTGACCCCTGCACATGATTCCTAAATCAGGTTACAATAAAATTGATTTGTAAACTATTTCCATAGTCCACTAATGGCAAATCTGGCATCGTTTGCTTTTTAGTGCTGTCTTTAAAGATACATAGGAGCAAGACACCTCTATGAAATGAGGTGCTACAAGAAGGAAATTTGGAGCTTGAAGAAAAGAAAGGTCTCCAGAAACTATAGCACGGACAAGACTGAAATTGTTTTAAAAATAGCTAATTCTTAAAAACTGAATCTAAACTCTGCTTGTGAAATGCTCCTTGGAGCAGTATAACAAGTAAAAGTCCAGTAAGACCACAAAGGTTCCAGCGAACACCACCAGGAAACTCCAGTGATAACCCCAAGCTTGTTGAACCTTGGCAGCTCCTGTGAAGGAGATCCCAGTCTACAGGAAGCTCTGCACATAGAATGAGACGGGCTTCACTGCATCTCTTACTCTTCTTGGGGTCCACTGTGGCTTCTAAACTAAAGGTGCACCTGAAGTAAGTTCTATGTGTATTTTGATAGGGATTAATTTAAAATAAACTCCAGAAGCATTAAAACAACCAGCACAGAAAGTTTGTCAATATCCCCGTTAATATCTGATTTTAAAGATTCAATTTCTTTTCTATGTTTACAGGCCAATTTTTAAATCTCTTTTTTTTTTTTTTTTTTTTTTTTTGAAAAGCAGGTTTCCTACCTTTGGCATGCAGCGTGTTTCTGATTGCCTTTTAGTGGGCATGTGCTTAGACCTCAAAACTCACTCTATGTGCAGAGCTTCCTGTAGATTGGGATCTCCTTCACAGAAATGCTGTGTCTCTCTGCGGATGCAGCACACAGGAAGAAGTCACCCACTCGCTACATACATCGCTAATTAGGACTTCAATAAAATACTGTGTTCACCTTGAGGTCCTAAATAAGATGTAGCTTCAAAGAATGTATAGTCAGCCATTTAAGAAAAAGAATCCCAGCGAATAAAACCTAACTTTGTAGCTATTATCTACTGTGGAAGCCTGAAGAAAAATTAAGGATATAAATTATTTTTTATGTTATTCTCTGTTCACTGAGATAAATATGAGAGGATAATTAAGTCAGTGAAATTTAAATAGTAACGGGAGGAAGAACAAGTAAGACTTGGAAAGAATATATTTGGCTTAATAGTCATGAAACTCAGGGCTTTCAGTCAAAAAGCCATATTTTTGGAGACTATTTAAGAAATAGCTGCGCCAGGCGCGGTGGCTCACGCCTGTAATCCCAGCACTTTGGGGGGCTGAGACGGGCGGATCACAAGGTCAGGAGATCGAGACCATCCTGGCTAACACAGTGAAACCCGTCTTTACTAAAAATACAAAAAAAAAAAAAAATTAGCCGGGCGTGGTGGCGGGCACTTGTAGTCCCAGCTACTCGAGAGGCTGAGGCAGGAGAATGGCGTGAAGCCGGGAGGCGGAGCTTGCAGTGAGCCGAGATCGCGCCGCTGCACTCCAGCCTGGGTGACAGAGCGAGACTCCATCTCAAAAAATTAAAATAAAAAAGAAATAGCGGCTCAGCTGACTTTATGGATGTTTTTCATACACTTATGATCTAAGGAAGAGGATGGACGAGATGACCGGAAGTTATTTCCAACCCTGTATGACAAGTAAGGTTTAGGTAGAGGTAAAATTTATAAGAAAACATTGTGGAAAATATAAACATATGCAAATGTCCAGCTGGCCCTGGTAACACTCATTAGTATGTTAAATATAAAACAAAATCATGCCTTACTATTGCTGATTTATTTTAATGGGACCACTCATGGATGATACATTACCGTAGAAGGTTACAATGGCTTGCTTTGCATGCAAAATTTAATACACTGTACATTGCCTAGGGAAAATCCAACCACAGTCAATCCCAACTGATTTTGATGTTGACATTATCATGTGAGTGGGTACACTGCACCTGCATATTTGAAATGAAGAGGGTTTGCCAAAAGAATCAGTGGATAACTGAACATGCTTTGAACTTTGAGATTGAAAAAGTTTTGAATTGTAGTGTTGCTTCTTTTTTTGAAGACTCACATATTCAAGCCAAATGTTAACATCATTATTCATTCAACAAGTATTTATTGATATATACTGTGTAGCAAACACATTTGTAGTGCTGGAGATTCAATGGTGAACAAACCAGGAAAAAAAAAATCCTTATTTTAGACTTACAGTTTAATTGGGAACTTGAATAACTGTGTGAGAAAATACATCCAATAAATAAGTAAACTAATAACATTTAATAACATTTTAGAATGAAGGAAATGAACAAGGAGATTTGATAGAGAGCAGTTGGGTGGGATTGAGGTAGGTGGAGTCAGAGGTTACCAGATACTATGGTTATGTCTGTCCTAGACCAGAAATCAGAAGGGCTAGATATTCACCCAACTTCTGCCACCAATCCAGCTGACTGGCCTTCGAAAAGGGACATCTGTAGACCGAGCTGGTCATTTAGACTACATAATTCCAGGAGCTTTTTACAGCCCATGGTAGGCAGAATGGACCCTCTAAAGCAGCAGTCCCCAACCTTTTTGGCACCAAGCACTGGTTTCATGGAAGACAGTTTTTCCACAGACCAGGAGAGCAGGATGGTTTCAAGATGATTCAAGCACATCCCATTTATTGTGCACTTTATTTCTATTATTATTACACTGTAACACATAATGAAATAATTATACAACTTGTCACAACATAGAATCAGTAGTAGCCCTGAGCTTATTTTCTTTTCTTTCTATTTTCTTTATTATACTATAAGTTCTAGGGTATATATGCACAACATGCAAGTTCGTTACATATGTATACGTGTGCCATGTTGGTGTGCTGCACCCATTAACTCATCATTTACATTAGATATATCTCTTAATGCTATCCCTCCCACCTCCCCCCACCCCAAAACAGGCCCCAGTGTGTGATGTTCTCCTTCCTGTGTCCAAGTGTTTTCATTGTTCAATTCCCACCTATGAGTGAGAACATGCAGTGTTTGGTTTTCTGTCCTTGCGATTGTTTGCTGAGAATGATGGTTTCCAGCTTCATCCATGTCCCTACAAAGGACATGAACTCATCATTTTTTATGGCTGCATAGTATTCCATGGTGTATATGTGACACGTTTTCTTAATCCAGTCTATCATTGATGGACATTTGGGTTGGTTCCAAGTCTTTGCTATTGTGAATAGTGCCGCAATAAACATACGTGTGCATGTGTCTTTATAGCAGCATGATTTATAATCCTTTGGGTATATACCCAGTAATGGGATGGCTGGGTCAAATGGTATTTCTAGTTCTAGATCCTTGAGGAATCACCACACTGCCTTCCACAATGGTTGAACTAGTTTACAGTCCCACCAGCAGTATAAAAGTGTTCCTATTTCTCCACATCCTCTCCAGCACCTGTTGTTTCCTGACTTTTTAATGATCGCCATTCTAACTGGTGTGAGATGGTATCTCATTGCGGTTTTGATTTGCATTTCTCTGATGGCCAGATGGTGAGCATTTTTTCATGTGTCTGTTGGTTGCATAAATGTCTTCTTTTAAGAAGTATCTGTTCATATCCTTTGCCCACTTTTTGATGGGGTTGTTTTTTTCTTGTAAATTTGTTTGAGTTCTTTGTAGATTTTGGATATTAGCCCTTTGTCAGATGAGTAGATTGCAAAAATTTTGTCCCATTCTGTAGGTTGCCTGTTCACTCTGATGGTAGTTTCTTTTGCTGTGCAGAAGCTCTTTAGTTTAATTAGATCCCATTTGTCAATTTTGGCTTTTGCTGCCATTGCTTTTGGTGTTTTAGACATGAAGTTCTTGCCCATGCCTATGTCCTGAATGGTAATGCCTAGGTTTTCTTCTAGGGTTTTTATGGTTTTAGGTCTAACATTTAAGTCTTTAATCCATCTTGAATTAATTTTTGTATAAGGTGTAAGGAATGGATCCAGTTTCAGCTTTCTACATATGGCTAGTCAGTTTTCCCAGCACCATTTATTAAATAGGGAATCCTTTCCCCATTTCTTGTTTTTGTCAGGTTTGTCAAAGATCAGATGGTTGTAGATGTGTGGTATTATTTCTGAGGGCTCTGTTCTGTTCCATTGGTCTATATCTCTGTTTTGGTAGCAGTACCATGCTGTTTTGGTTACTGCAGCCTTGTAGTATAGTTTGAAGTCAGGTAGTGTGATGCCTCCAGCTTTGTTCTTTTGGCTTAGGATTGACTTGGCAATGCGGGCTCTTTTTTGGTTCCATATGAACTTTAAAGTAGTTTTTTCCAATTCTGTGAAGAAAGTCATTGGTAGCTTGATGGGGATGGCATTGAATCTATAAATTACCTTGGGCAGTATGGACATTTTCACGATATTGATTCTTCCTGTCCATGACCATGGAATGTTCTTCCATTTGTTTATGCCCTGTTTTATTTCGTTGAGCAGTGGTTTGTAGTTCTCCTTGAAGAGGTCCTTCACATCCCTTGTAAGTTGGATTCCTAGGTATTTTATTCTCTTTGAAGCAATTGTGAATGAGAGTTCACTCACGATTTGGTTCTCTGTTTGTCTGTTATTGGTGTATAAGAATGCTTGTGATGTTTGCACATTGATTTTGTATCATGAGACTTTGCTGAAGTTGCTTATCAGCTTAAGATTTTGGGCTGAGACAATGGGGTTTTCTAGATATACAATCATGTCATCTGCAAACAGGGACAATTTGACTTCCTCTTTTCCTAATTGAATACCCTTTATTTCTTTCTCCTGCCTGCTTGTCCTGGCCAGAACTTCCAACACTATGTTGAATAGGAGTGGTGAGAGAGGGCATCCCTGTCTTGTGCCAGTTTTCAAAGGGAATGCTTCCAGTTTTTGCCCATTCAGTGTGATATTAATGGTGGGTTTGTCATAAATCGCTCTTATTATTTTGAGATACATCCCATCAATACCTAATTTACTGAGAGTTTTTAGTGTGAAGGGCTGTTGAATTTTGTCAAAGGCCTTTTCTGCATCTATTGAGATAATCATATGGTTTTTGTCTTTGGTTCTGTTTATATACTGGATTACGTTTATTGATTTGCGTATGTTGAACCAGGCTTGCATCCCAGGGATGAAGCCCACTTGATCATGGTGGATAAGCTTTTTGATGTGTTGCTGGATTCGATTTGCCAGTATTTTATTGAGGATTTTTGCATGAATGTTCATCAGGGATATTGGTCTAAAAGTCTCTTTTTTTGTTGTGTCTCTGCCAGGCTTTGGTATCAGGATGATGCTGGCCTCATAAAATGAGTTAGGGAGGATTCCTTCTTTTTCTATCAATTGGAATAGTTTCAGAAGGAATGGTACCAGCTCCTCCTTGTACCTCTGATAGAAATCGGCTGTGAATCCATCTGGTCCTGGACTTTTTTTGGTTGGTAGGCTATTAATTATTGCTGAGCTTATTTTCCTGCAACTAGATGGTCGCCTCTGTGGGTGATGGGAGACAGTGACAGATCATCAGGCATTAGATTCTCATAAGGAGCATGCAACTTAGATGCCTCGCATGCATAGTTCACAATAGGGTTCACGCTCCTGTGAGAATCTAATGCCAGGGCAGATCTGACAGGAGGTGGAGCTCAGGCAGTAACACTCATTTACCTGCCACCTACTGTGTGGCTAAGTTCCTCTCTTTTTTTTTTTTGGAGGCAGGGTCTTGCTCTGTCACCCAGGCTGGAATGCAGTGGCACAATCTCGGCTGGCTGCAACCTCTGATCCTCTGGGCTCAAGCGGTCCTCCCACCTCAGCCTCCTGAGTAGCTGGGACCACAGGGACGTGCCACCACCCAGCTGTAAATAAAGTGCACAATAAATGCAATGTGCTTTTTTGTATTTTTAGTAGAGACAAGGTTTGGCCATGTTGCCCAAGCTGATCTCAAACTGCTGAGCTTAAGCGATCCACCTGCCTTGGTCTCCCAAAGTGCTGGGATTACAGGCATGAGCCACTGTGCCTGGCTGCTGCCCGGTTTCTAGCTGCCTGGTACCAGTCTTTGGCCCAAGAGTTGGAGACCCTTCCTCTAAAGACTTCACATTCCAATCCTCAAAACCTGTGAATGTATTGTTAAATGGCAGAAAGAACTTTGCAGATCTGAGAATGGAGCGATTGTTCTGGATTAGCTAATTTAATCATGTGTCCTTAAAAGCAGAAAATGTTCTCTTCTGATTGCAGAAGAGAGATGCAGCAGAGAAATGCCACAGAAAGGGGAGCTGGAGAGAATCAAAGCATGAGAGGAATTCAACCTGCTGTCACTGGAAGGGGTCCAGATGGAACGCTTGAGAAGAAACGTGTGTAGCATCTAGGAGTAAAGACTCGCCCTGGCTGACAGCTAGTAAGGAAATGGGAACCTCAGTGCTGCAGCCTCAAAGAATTGACTTTAACCCACAGCCTGTGTGCACTTAGAAGCGGATGCATTCACAAATCTTCCAGAAGGGAATGGAGCCCCATTGACACCTTGATTTTAACCTTCTGAGATTCTAAGCAGGGAATCTAGATGAGACACGCTGTGAGATAATACATAGGTATTGTTTTAAGCTGCTAAATTTGTGGTAATTTCTTATGACAGCAATTTAAAAAACTGATACAAAGCCAGTAACCCAAATCCTGTAGTCTTCCATCCTTCACAATTTCCTACTGGCACCTCCACTCTGCAGTTCCAATCCATTTTACCTCCAAAGCATGGACTGACCCCATCTTCTCATCTCCCCAGAATTCTACTTCATCTATCATCTGGACCATCCCAAACTGTACCCCTGTTTTGTTTTGACTTTTGACTCTCAATCTGTTCTCCAAACCGTAGCCGATTATTTACTTTAAAAAGTATGTAATCATGACATTTCTTTGCACACAGTCTTTCAGTGTTTCCACATAAGCAAAGGATTCCAGTTCAGCCCCACTTTAACGCAAAGACATCCATGACAGATCCTATCTCCCCCTCCAGCCTTTTATAGCACTCTCTCTGCCTTCCTCTTTATGTGCCTATATGGAGAATTGTAACTTCCCTTCAGTACCACTCCTAGACCCAGGCGTGCAGGGTATCTGTGCTGAGCTTAGATCTTCAGAGGCCTCAGCTCTGGTGCTGCCTGGTCTTCCCACAGGTGAGGAATCTAGGTAGCTGAGCAGAAATCACCTGTAGCCCAAGTTTCCTTCTTGTGGACCATGCCTCAGATGTTTGGTATCCCGACTTCCCTGGACAAAGGACCCAAAACCCTTTCCAAAGCTGGCATGGGTTAATTTTCTGAATTTATGCTCTGAAGGATAGCACATGCCTCTGGGCAAGTGTGAGGTAGGCTGGCCAAGAGGCAAATGTTAGCAGTGTTGCCAAAAAGGAGGAGGTGGGCTGTGGAACCAGGGGTAAGAAAACAGGAAGATGGATGTCAGTCTGTTTAGGGGGTCCTATCACAAAATACCACAGACCGGGTGACTTAAATCACAGAAATTTATTTCTAACAGTTCTGAACGCTGCTAAGACAAAGATCAAGGTGCCAGCAGATCCGGTGTCTGGTGAGAACTTTCTTCCTGGTTTCCTCACATGGTGTTGTGGGTCGGGGAGGTGGGCAGAAAACTAAAACAAGGGTGTTAATCCCATCATGAGGGTTCCACCCTCATGACCCACTTACCTCCCAGAGACCCCATCCCAGATATCATTATACTGAGGATTAGAGTTTCTGCATGTGAATTTTGGAGGGACTCAAACTTTCAGCCCATAGCAGTAGACCATCGGTTAAGGGCTGTCTTTCCTTACCATCATATTTCTAGCCTGGAATTCCAATAAATTCTAAAATTCCAAATTAGAACCCAGCCTTCCAAGATGTTATGAAGATATATTTGTCAAGGTAGGAGCATAAACCTTGTTTTACATAGCAGGTGGTTAGCTTGATTTATAGTGTCTAACTATTTAGATGTAAGATATGCTACCTCCATTTGCACTTTTACCCCAGTCTCCACAAACGGTGGGGGTATGTTTCCCCCACATACCATGTCTTCATGTTGTTTCTTCCTGTGTTCCATGTTCTTCTCAATGCCTGGAAAGGTCTGCCCACCATTCTTCACCTGGCTAACTCTCACACATGGCTCAGGACTCAGGTTAGTGGTGGCCTCCCCCAGAAAGCCTTCAATGATTCTCCAGTGCCCCCTCCACTCAACATGCACGTATGTGAAATTATTAAAACACTCCCACACTGTAAGACAAAGAATAGAGACTACATTTTATCCATTTTGTTTCACTACCATGGTGTCTGGTGCATGGTGTGGGTTTAATTAAAGTTTATTGAACTGAATACTGAAAGCAAATGGTAAATGCTTCATTCAGAATATATTCAACAAGCATTTAAGGAATAATAGTACAAAGTGAAGAAGAAAATTACTGGGGGTGGGAGAGGACAGATGTGGCAGATCCCTTGTTCCAGGTCACACAATAGTAATAATCATTGCCATTTCTTGAACACTAACCATTTGCCAGAAACAGCACGAAGTATTTCACATGGGTTACATTTAATCCTTCCAACCCCAAGAGGTAGAAACTATTATATCTTCATTTTACAAATGAGAAAACTGAGGCTTACATAGGTTAAGTGATTTGCCTAAAGACTCAAAGACAGAAAGGGCTCCAAAGCCTCTGCTTTAACTATGGGAGCATGCTGCTTCCTGACACCTCCCATGCACAGAAAAGGGAGCTAGACCCTTGTCCTTTTTTTTTTTTTTTTTTAAAGAGAAGATACAAATGGTAATTCCCAAGGGCATGAGTAAATGTTAGTTGAAAGTTAATTGCATGTGCTTCAGAAATAAATGTGGGAACATCTGAAATGTGTAAATAACAATAAGATTGCAAAGTAAGGAGGACCATTTGGATTACAATAAGGAAATGATCATGTTCTCTGCTGACAGTGAGCTGGGGGTGTGTCCCAGAGGAAGTTGGGAGGTCTTGTCTGGAGGCCCGCGCTGCAGTCGACTGGAAAGTTCTTAACACAGGATGTGAGAAGGGAATGTATGGGGGCTGAATTGGTCTTCAAATCCAAAATGTAATACCAACACAAGTTTTACATTAAAATATTTAAAGATAGAAATTGTTCTTCCCAACAGTTTTTCATTTAAAAGAGGAGTTGCAGCATTTCCTCAAATGTTATTTAAGGCCATTTAAATGCCACCTAATTGGACTAAATTATTGTTTCTTAAGTTGAATTCAGGAAAGTAACTCTTTGCCATTTGTAAAAACTGCATTCAAGCCAAATAAGCAGTAAGATTGTAGCAGGAAAAAAAGAAACAAACCTCACCCACAAACTCTTGTACCAGAAATTTCTCTATTTTCTTATGACTGAACTTAATATTTATTTTCATTTCCTATTTGGCCAAATGGTTGGAAATTTGATCTCAGTCAAGACAATGTGGTCTCCTACCCCCACTTTCAGCTACTCCTTCCTTTCCTCGGGATTAGGTCTAAATATAGGGTGGCTTACATAGTGTAGAGGCATGGGCAGGGGCTGAAAGAAGGGCTGGCATCCACGCCTGCAGGACCTACAGTGATTGTTGTAGGTCTCAGCTGCCTCCCTCCTCAGCCACAGCCTCAGCCTCCTTCTGGCTCCTCCGCTTTTGTGCCATGTCCATCCTTCTTGGGTGCATGTCATCATTCCATTGCTTCTGTGCCAAGGAGTAGAACTGAGAACCTGACGAAACTGTCTGAGGCTCATTCACCCAGCCCTGCTTCTGCTCCCTGCCATGAAGGCTGGGGATGCTGAAGGCTCCCTCTGTCTCCAAGGGATGGGGACTTAGATCCTCTTTGCTCCTGGACCTTCCAACTGCATCCAGAGTTCTATGGCACCCTCTCCCCCTGGGTGTTTGGCTAAGAAGAAGCAGGTCACTGGCTCCCTTCTCAGAAACCAACAGTGTCTAAATTCTGCGTCTGCCTTTTGAACTTCTCCTTCCTCATCCCAGATAATCTTTCTCCAGCTTGAGGCAGGAATGCTTGCTCTTATCTCATCATGCATCGTTTCAAATCTCTTGTTTCATTCCAAGATCTAGGCTTATGCAACACCAAAGCCAGGAATAGACTCCTTTGACTTTGCAATTTTTTCTCTCCCTTGACAGCAGGTATAAGAAATTCCTTACCTTGGCTGAAGGGGCACCCATGGGGTGGAAGAAAGGGGATACGATAAAACTTATAAAACACTGCCACTACCATAGCTCAGAGAAAAGCACCAGATGAGGAATCAGGAGATTGGGAGTTTGCCATGTGATCATGTTACAGTAGGCAACTAGTCAGACATGAGCAGGGCAGAAGAGCCTCCCCCAACCCCACCAGGAATGTCAGGCAACCATCAGGTGATGGCCAGGAGGTTTTTAAACTATCTCTCTAAAGTAATAATGGGTTGCAGCCAGCGCCATGAAAAGACAGTCTCCCAACAGATAGAAAACACCTGAAGCTGGTGATCAGCGGCTTCCCGATAAGATCTCAGGAGTTGGGCAAGTGGGCTCAAGCATGCACACTAAGAGGTGTCCACTCACCCAACTGAGGCAAAATGGCCTCAGAGTTTAACTGGTATATGACCTTCCTTTAGGAACACTGGACTGGTAAGGGAAAACGCCTCAGGTGAGCATGCACACAACTTCAGTAAACACACTGCACACGCAGGCCCTCCCAAGCACTAGCAGGCCACTGCACATGCAGACAGCCAAAGGGAAGAATCAGGAGAGAAGGGCTGCAACCTCCCAAGAAGCATGCCAATGTGTAAAACCCCAGGTCAAAGGTCAAACTGTGCCCTTGATCTCTCAAGTCTCCCACTTGGCCCTCTTCCAAGTATATTTTGTATTTTTTTCTCTCTTGTTCTAAAGCTTTTTAATAACTTCTACTCCTGCCCTAAAACTTGCCTCAGTCTCTCACTCTGCTTTATGCACTTTGGTCAAATTATTTCTTCTGAGGAGGCAAGAACTGAGGTTGGTCTAGACCCATACAGATTTGCCACCGATAGCAATCATGGCCAAGTCATTTCCTCTCAGGAACTTGGTTTCTTCATCCATACGATCGGAGGTAAGAGTAGGCATTTTCCATCTTTTTTTTTTTTTTTTTTTTTTGACTCTAGAAATACTACTTTATCTGATTTTTAAAGAAGATTTCCATCTGGCTCTGGTGACTTTGAAACTCTGTGATCATATACGCGTGAGAAATAATGTGGGGCGCCATGATTTACTCTCCACTCCACACATTTACAGATCACAAAAATGAGATCCCTTGTAACCAGGTTCAGAATTATTTAATTGAGGTTAAGATCTAATTTTCATAGCTCAAAAAGTCATGTATGTAATGGATATGTCTCATGTCATTTAAAAGTTTTTCTCTAAAATTTGTGACTTGAAATATACAGGATTCTCATCACTCTCTTTCAATGTGTTCTAATTAGTAATAATATTTCTTATTTACTTTATGGATTTTTTAGTTTTGTTGTTATTAGAACCGAGAAAAAAATTGACAAGGTTAATGAGTACCTGATAGAGAGGTGTTTTACAAAATAATTACAATTATATTTTTACAAAAATTTGTAAAGTAGCTTATTTTCAGAAATTGTGGACTGTTTTAAATAAGGTTTTCAATTTTAAAAATAAATGACTTATAGTAAAACTTCATCAGATAAGGTCAAGTGTTCTTTTGACAATTTATTCCAAAATTCAGAGAGAAAAACACTCACTAAATAACATAATAAAAAAATAATGTCTGACTTCCAGGCCACCAAGAGAAGTAGAAATGAAGTTATAAATATCACACAATGCTCTAAATCAGTCTGGCAGAAAGTCTATTTTTGTCACCTGCTGGCTCCCTTGTTATTATTTTTTTCTTGCTAACATAGTTGATATGTTATATATAGCATACATGCTATAAAACACCAAGCCCATGTTTTCAGTTTTCAGACAGTATGAAGAGAAAATTCAAATGAGAATCTAATTTCAGCTTTGATGCCAGTTACTCTTGTGACTTTGAGGAAGTTCTTTAACTCTGTTTGTATTGAGTTTAAGAGAGGTGACTTCTAAGAGTTCTGCCAGCCTTAAAATTATTTGATTCTGTACATTTTTCCTTAGCTCTAAAATAGGGACAATAATATTTGTACTATCTCACAGTGTTGATAGGAGAATTAAGTTCTTTTACTCAATAGAATCTGTAATTTTGCATTTGTGTAATTATTTGCTTAATGCCTATCACCCCAGCAGGCTGTCAGCTCCGTGGGGATAGGGAGAGTGTCTGTCTGATGCACTGCTCTATTTCTAGTACCTAGCACAGTGCCAGGCACATCACAGAGGCTCAGTTTACATGTCTGGTGAATGAGAAGAATCAACCTAAGTATTCATTTATAGGGCATTGAAAACTGGCGAGCCTCGACCCTGCTTCCTCAGAAAAAAGTTATAGAAACGTGGCCATGTTTTGTATCAACCATTGATAAAAACTCAAATTCTTTTTCTCAAAGAGAAATAGCATAACTTAGTACTGCTCCAAGCATGGCCCACAGACAAGCCCCAACAGCATCAACTGAGTTCTGCCTAGAAATGCAGGTTGGGCGCCCGGGTTCATACCTGTCATCCTAGCACATTGGGAGGCTGAGGCAGGAGGATCTCTTGAGCTGAGGAGTTTAAGACCAGCCTAGCCAACATAGTGAGACCTCATCTCTACTAAAAATTAAAAAAAATTAGCTGGATGCGGTGGCGCATGCCTGTATTCCCAGCTACTCAGAAGGCTGAGGAGGAAGGATCACTTGAGGCTGGGAGGTCAAGGCTGCAGTAAGCCATGATCACTCCATTGCACTCCAGTCTGGGCGACAGAGTAAGACCCTGTCTCAAAAAACAAAAACAAAAATAAATGCAAATTCTCTTTCCCTATCTCAGAAGTACTAAAAGAAACTCCAGGGGCAGGGCTAGCGCTCTGTGTAAATGTTTACAAGCCCTCTCTGTGATTATGATGTACCCTCAAGTTTTTGAACCACTGTCTCGAACAATCTACTTATCTTCTTTACATACATATTATTTTACTTCTCTCAGTCCTAAATTAAGTTCTCTAGCTTCAGCTTGGAAAATAATAACAATTACATCATCAACAACAATAATAATAGCTAATACTTTTTGAGTACCTTCCTAGGCTCCAGACCTTGATTGTAATGCATAAGTCCCACACAAACTTATTGGGGTAACAAACATTATTCTATCTATTTTCTATACTACAAAACCAAGATTTTATTAAATTTTCCCATGGTCAATAAACTAGTGCTTCACATCTCAGTAGCCTGGTACTAGAGCTGGGCTTTTAACTACTATATGATACAGATTCTATGCTCAGCTCCTGGCTGAAGTTCTACCCGCTCCCTTATATTTTGGATCCCAGCTATATAATGAGGGGCACATATGAGCAAGTCTGTAAAGCTGACCTGACTCCGCATTCATGTGAAGAGTGAAACACCTTCCCAGGAGATGAGCCATGGGATACCTGACATCAAAGTCAGATTTTTCCTTAAGAATTATCTTTGGATCTTTTCTCATGAAAAGATGAAATTGTTTAGTGTTGTCTGCATAAACTCCAGTGAGTGCCAAAAACTGATTATTTTCAATTTGGCAGACTTAATACTAATCAGTCATTTCTGGAAACACTCAGACAATGGTATCCATTGTTTCTCGAGGTTTATTTTCTCCTTCATCAACCTCAAAAGAGAACTTAGAAAATGGAAGAAAGGAGTAAGTTGAGATGGGATGCAGGAGGAGAGGGGGAAGAGAAGAATGTGTGAGAGGAGAAGAAAAAAAGTCAGAGATTGATTTTTTATCCTGCCTTCCATCATTGGTGTAGGAAGTGTCACTGTGAGGAATCAGGAGTGGGGAGGTAGGCTGAGACCTACCTGGTCAGGGTGTCATGGCAATGAGTGAAGCAGAGATGTGAAGGTTGCCTGAAACTGTATGTGTGGACCTAGGGACAACTTAGGACTTACCTACTATACCTGGTGTAGGAAATCAGAGGCTAAATGTTGCATGTGCCTAGCATGACTGATATTGAAAAAGAATCAATGAAGGCAGCAGATAGACTGTGGTCAGAGGCAACCGCTAATAGAGCTCCCAAAGAGAAACTGTGCTAATGGAGTTGGCTCCCATGGGCTTTCAAGGAAGACTGTCCTGGGGACTTGCCTTTCCAGCACCAGTCAAGCTGGTTTCTTTTAGGGGCCCAGTCAACAGCAGTGAGAAAGCAACTACTATTGACTGAGTGCCTACCATGCCAGGCAGTTTGCTACTCATTTTATGGACACTAATCCAGTTGAACTTCCCAAAACATCTGGAAAGTGGCATTATAGTCCCCATTTTACACCAGAGGACACCAACGTTCCACAATATTAATTAACTTGTCTAAGAGCATCAATTGGTAAGTAGTAGAGCCATTCAACTTTTTCTGGTTGTTGTTTTTTTTTTCCTATCAGACTCTACCTCTTAGAATGGTGGGAGGGAGAGAGGAGAAGAGGGAATTTTAGGAAACAGTGCCAGCTACTAAGGCTAAATGGGAAACGCTCGAGTGAGACTGGACTCCTCCTCAGTTATTTGAGTTATTGCTCTTTCAAGTTATATTTTTGGGATCTTGATTAGGTCCCTGGTTGAAGTTATCAAAAAAGTAGCCCATGAATTCAAAACATTAGGCTTCATCAGTGTATATGAGGGAATCCTCTTTTGTTTATAAAACTGATCAGTGTTTCCCAAGATCATCAGTCTTGGGGTAAAAATGAGACTATACTGTTAGTATAAATAACTCTTGGCTGGGTGCAGTGGCTCACACCTGTAATCCCAGCACTTTGGGAGGCTGAGGCAGGCATATCACTTGAGGTCAGGAGTTCAAGACCAGCCTGGCCAAATTAGCAAAATCCCATCTCTACTAAAAATACAAAAATTAGCTGGGCATGGTGGCACGTACCTGTAATCCCAGCTACTCGGGAGGCTGAGGTAGGAGAATCACTTGAACCTGGGGGGCGGAGGTTGCAGTAGCACCACTGCACTCTAGCCTGGGTGACAGAGCAAGACTCTGTCTCAAAACAACAACAACAAAAAAATAAAAACAAAAAAACTTTTGACTGTCATACTATTCATGTACTGTTATAAGCCTTACTATAGTTTGAATGTTTGTCCTCCAAATCTCATGTTGAAATTTGATCCCCAAGAAAGGGGAGCCAAGATGGCCGAATAGGAACAGCTCTGGTCTACAGCTCCCAGCCTAAGCGACACAGAAGACGGTGATTTCTGCATTTCCATCTGAGGTACCGGGTTCATCTCACTAGGGAGTGCCAGACAGTGGGTGCCGGTCAGTGGGCGCGCGCACCGTGCACGAGCCGAAGCAGGGCAAGGCATTGCCTCACCTGGGAAGCTCAAGGGGTCAGGGAGTTCCCTTTCCGAGTCAAAGAAAGGGGTGACGGACGGCACCTGGAAAATCGAGTCACTCCCACCCGAATACTGCGCTTTTCCGACGGGCTTAAAAAACGGCGCACCACGAGATTGTATCCCGCACCTGGCTTGGAGGGTCCTATGCCCACAGAGTCTCGCTGATTGCTAGCACAGCAGTCTGAGATCAAACTGCAAGGCAGCAGCGGCAGCGAGGCTGGGGGAGGGGCGCCCGCCATTGCCCAGGCTTGATTAGGTAAACAAAGCAGCCAGGAAGCTCGAACTGGGTGGAGTCCACCACAGCTCAAGGAGGCCTGGCTGCCTCTGTAGGCTCCACCTCTGGGGGCAGGGCACAGACAAACAAAAAGACAGCAGTAACCTCTGCAGACTTAAATGTCCCTGTCTGACAGCTTTGAAGAGAGCAGTGGTTCTCCCAGCACGCAGCTGGAGATCTGAGAACGGGCAGACTGCCTCCTCAAGTGGGTCCCTGACCCCTGACCCCTGAGCAGCCTAACTGGGAGGCACCCCCCAGCAGGGGCACACTGACACCTCACACGGCAGGGTATTCCAACAGACCTGCAGCTGAGGGTCCTGTTAGAAGGAAAACTAACAAACAGAAAGGACATCCACACCAAAAACCCATCTGTACATCACCATCATCAAAGACCAAAAGTAGATAAAACCACAAAGATGGGGAAAAAACAGAACAGAAAAACTGGAAACTCTAAAAAGCAGAGCGCCTCTCCTCCTCCAAAGGAACGCAGTTCCTCACCAGCAACGGAACAAAGCTGGATGGAGAATGACTTTGACGAGCTGAGAGAAGAAGGCTTCAGACGATCAAATTACTCTGAGCTACGGGAGGACATTCAAACCAAAGGCAAAGAAGTTGAAAACTTTGAAAAAAATTTAGAAGAATGTATAACTAGAATAACCAATACAGAGAAGTGCTTAAAGGAGCTGATGGAGCTGAAAACCAAGGCTCGAGAACTACGTGAAGAATGCAGAAGCCTCAGGAGCCGATGTGATCAACTGGAAGAAAGGGTATCAGCGATGGAAGATGGAATGAATGAAATGAAGCGAGAAGGGAAGTTTAGAGAAAAAAGAATACAAAGAAATGAGCAAAGCCTCCAAGAAATATGGGACTATGTGAAAAGACCAAATCTACGTCTGATTGGTGTACCTGAAAGTGATGGGGAGAATGGAACCAAGTTGGAAAACACTCTGCAGGATATTATCCAGGAGAACTTCCCCAATCTAGCAAGGCAGGCCAACGTTCAGATTCAGGAAATACAGAGAACGCCACAAAGATACTCCTCGAGAAGAGCAACTCCAAGACACATAATTGTCAGATTCACCAAAGTTGAAATGAAGGAAAAAATGTTAAGGGCAGCCAGAGAGAAAGGTCGGGTTACCCTCAAAGGGAAGCCCATCAGACTAACAGTGGATCTCTCGGCAGAAACCCTACAAGCCAGAAGAGAGTGGGGGCCAATATTCAACATTCTTAAAGACAAGAATTTTCAACCCACAATTTCATATCCAGCCAAACTAAGCTTCATAAGTGAAGGAGAAATAAAATACTTTACAGACAAGCAAATGCTGAGAGATTTTGTCACCACCAGGCCTGCCCTAAAAGAGCTCCTGAAGGAAGCGCTAAACATGGAAAGGAACAACCAGTACCAGCCGCTGCAAAATCATGCCAAAATGTAAAGACCATCAAGACTAGGAAGAAACTGCATCAACTAACGAGCAAAATAACCAGCTAACATCATAATGACAGGATCAAATTCACACATAACAATATTAACTTTAAATGTAAATGGACTAAATGCTCCAATTAAAAGACACAGACTGGCAAATTGGATAAAGAGTCAAGATCCATCAGTGTGCTGTATTCAGGAAACCCATCTCATGTGCAGAGACACACATAGGCTCAAAATAAAAGGATGGAGGAAGATCTACCAAGCAAATGGAAAACAAAAAAAGGCAGGGGTTGTAATCCTAGTCTCTGATAAAACAGACTTTAAACCAACAAAGATCAAAAGAGACAAAGAAGGCCATTACATAATGGTAAAGGGATCAATTCAACAAGAAGAGCTAACTATCCTAAATATATATGCACCCAATACAGGAGCACCAAGATTCATAAAGCAAGTCCTGAGTGACCTACAAAGAGACTTAGACTCCCACACATTAATAATGGAAAACTTTAACACCCCACCGTCAGCATTAGACAGATCAACGAGACAGAAAGTCAACAAGGATACCCAGGAATTGAACTCAGCTCTGCACCAAGTGGACCTAATAGACATCTACAGAACTCTCCACCCCAAATCAACAGAATATACATTTTTTTCAGCACCACACCACACCTATTCCAAAATTGACCACATACTGGGAAGTAAAGCTCTCCTCAGCAAATGTAAAAGAACAGACATTATAACAAACTATCTCTCAGACCACAGTGCAATCAAACTAGAACTCAGAATTAAGAATCTCACTCAAAACTGCTCAACTACGTGGAAACTGAACAACCTGCTCCTGAATGACTACTGGGTACATAACGAAATCAAGGCAGAAAATAAAGATGTTCTTTGAAACCAACGAGAACAAAGACACAACATACCAGAATCTCTGGGACACATTCAAAGCAGTGTGTAGAGGGAAATTTATAGCACTAAATGCCCACAAGAGAAAGCAGGAAAGATCCAAAATTGACACCCTAACATCACAATTAAAAGAACTAGAAAAGCAAGAGCAAACACATTCAAAAGCTAGCAGAAGGCAAGAAATAACTAAAATCAGAGCAGAACTGAAGGAAATAGAGACACAAAAAACCCTTCAAAAAATTAATGAATCCAGGACCTGGTTTTTTGAAAGGATCAACAAAATTGATAGACCACTAGCAAGACTAATAAAGAAAAAAAGAGAGAAGAATCTAATAGACGCAATAAAAAATGATAAAGGGGATATCACCACTGATCCCACAGAAATACAAACTACCATCAGAGAATACTACAAACACCTCTACGCAAATAAACTAGAAAATCTAGAAGAAATGGATAAATTCCTCGACACATACATTCTCCCAAGACTAAACAAGGAAGAAGTTGAATATCTGAATAGACCAATAACAGGATCTGAAATCGTGGCAATAATCAATAGCTTACCAACCAAAAAGAGTCCAGGACCAGATGGATTCACAGCTGAATTCTACCAGAGGTACAAGGAGGAACTGGTACCATTCCTTCTGAAACTATTCCAATTGATAGAAAAAGAGGGAATCCTCCCTAACTCATTTTATGAGGCCAGGATCATTCTGATACCAAACCCAGGCAGAGACACAACAAAAAAAGAGAATTTTAGACCAATATCCTTGATGAAAATTGATGCAAAAATCCTCAATAAAATACTGGCAAAACGAATCCAGCAGCACATCAAAAAGCTTATCCACCATGATCAAGTGGGCTTCATCCTTGGGATGCAAGGCTGGTTCAATATACACAAATCAATAAATGTAATCCAACATATAAACAGAGCCAAAGACAAAAACCACATGATTATCTCAATAGATGCAGAAAAAGCCTTTGACAAAATTCAACAACCCTTCATGCTAAAAACTCTCAATAAATTAGGTATTGATGGGACGTATTTCAAAATAATAAGAGGTATCTATGACAAACCCACAGCCAATATCATACTGAATGGGCAAAAACTGGAAGCATTCCCTTTGAAAACTGGCACAAGACAGGGATGCCCTCTCTCACCACTCCTATTCAACATAGTGTTGGAAATTCTGGCCAGGGCAAGCAGGCAGGAGAAGGAAATAAAGGGTATTCAATTAGGAAAAGAGGAAGTCAAATTGTCCCTGTTTGCAGACGACATGATTGTATATCTAGAAAACCCCATTGTCTCAGCCCAAAATCTCCTTAAGCTGATAAGCAACTTCTGCAAAGTCTCATGATACAAAATCAATGTGCAAACATCACAAGCATTCTTATACACCAGCAACAGACAAACAGAGAACCAAATCATGAGTGAACTCCCATTCACAATGGCTTCAAAGAGAATAAAATACCTAGGAATCCAACTTACAAGGGATGTGAAGGACCTCTTCAAGGAGAACTACAAACCACTGCTCAAGAAAATAAAAGAGGATATAAACAAATGGAAGAACATTCCATGCTCATGGGTAGGAAGAATCAATATCGTGAAAATGGCCATACTGCCCAAGGTAATTTAGAGATTCAATGCCATCCCCAACAAGCTACCAATGCCTTTCTTCACAGAATTGGAAAAAACTACTTTAAAGTTCATATGGAACCAAAAAAGAGCCCGCATCGCCAAGTCAATCCTAAGCCAAAAGAACAAAGCTGGAGGCATCACACTACCTGATTTCAAACTATACTACAAGGCTACAGTAACCAAAACAGCATGGTACTGGTACCAAAACAGAGATAGAGACCAATGGAACAGAAGAGAGCCCTCAGAAATAACGCCACATATCTACAACTATCTGATCTTTGACAAACCTGAGAAAAACAAGCAATGGGGAAAGGATTCCCTATTTAATAAATGGTGCTGGGAAAACTGGCTAGCCATATGTAGAAAGCTGAAACTGGATCCATTCCTTACACCTTATACAAAAATTAATTCAAGATGGATTAAAGACTTAAACGTTAGACCTAAAACCATAAAAACCCTAGAAGAAAACCTAGGCATTACCATTCAGGACATAGGCATGGGCAAGGACTTCATGTCTAAAACACCAAAAGCAATGGCAACAAAAGCCAAAATTGACAAATGGGATCTAATTAAACTAAACAGCTTCTGCACAGCAAGAGAAACTACCATCAGAGTGAACAGGCAACCTACAAAATGGGAGAAAATTTTCACAACCTACTCATCTGACAAAGGGCTACTATCCAGAATCTACAATGAACTCAAACAAATTTACAAGAAAAAAACAAACAACCCCATCAAAAAGTGGGCGAAGGACATGAACAGACACTTCTCAAAAGAAGACATTTATGCAGCCAAAAAACACATGAAAAAAATGCTCATCATCACTGGCCATCAGAGAAATGCAAATCAAAACCACAATGAGATACCATCTCACACCAGTTAGAATGGCAATCATTAAAAAGTCAGGAAACAACAGGTGCTGGAGAGGATGTGGAGAAATAGGAACACTTTTACACTGTTGGTGGGACTGTAAACTAGTTCAACCATTGTGGAAGTCAGTGTGGCGATTCCTCAGGGATCTAGAACTGGAAATACCATTTGACCCAGCCATCCCATTACTGGGTATATACCCAAAGGACTATAAATCATGCTGCTATAAAGACACATGCACACGTATATTTATTGCGGCATTATTCACAATAGCAAAGACTTGGAACCAACCCAAATGTCCAACAATGATAGACTGGATTAAGAAAATATGGCACATATACACCATGGAATACTATGCAGCCATAAAAAATGATGAGTTCATGTCCTTTGTAGGGACATGGATGAAATTGGAAATCATCATTCTCAGTAAACTATGGCAAGAACAAAAAACCAAACACTGCATGTTCTCACTCATAGGTGGGAATTGAACAATGAGATCACATGGACACAGGAAGGGGAATATCACACTCTGGGGACTGTTGTGGGGTGGGGGGAGGGGGGAGGGATAGCATTGGGAGATATACCTAATGCTAGATGACGAGTTAGTAGGTGCAGTGCACCAGCATGGCACATGTATACATATGTAACTAACCTGCACAATGTGCACATGTACCCTAAAACTTAAAGTATAATTAAAAAAAAAAAAAAAAGAAATTTGATCCCCAATATTGGAGGTGGGGCCTGGTGGGAGGTGTTTGGGTCATGAGGGTGGATCCCTCATGAATGTCTTGGTGACATTCTCATGGCAATGAGTTCTCACTTTATTGGTTCTCATGAGCTGGTTGTTTAAAAGGGTCTGGCAGCTTCCTCCTCTCTCTCTTCCTCTCTCATCATGTGACCTCTGTACACACCAGTTTCCCTTTGCCTTCTACCATGAATGGAAGCAGCCTGAGGGCCTCACAAGAAGCCAAGCAGATGCCGGCACCATGCTTCTTATACAGCCTGTGGAACTGTGAGCCAAATAAACTTCTTTTTAAATAAATTGCCCAGCCACAGGTATTCCTTTATAGCAACACAAACGGACTAAGACAAGCTCCCTCAAAGCCACCTCCAATAATTTTAAGGAGCCTACAAGGGTGTCTCATAGGGATTAACAAGGCTTCTCAACTAGGATACGGCATCTCCCATTTTCTCCCTTTCGTGCTTCTGACAATGTCAACTGCTGGGTCCTCTCAGTGCTACTACTAGCAGAGTTGTTTGAATTTGATTCAAGACTGTCACTGGTATTTAGACCCACATGGAAACCACAGCTTACCAAATGGTCCTCTCACTGTTCCTGACTGTGGAGTGGGTTGACCCACTGCCAGGAACCATGACCGTGCCTGAAGCTGGCCACTAGAAATGTTCGTATTAGACCAAGTTTGCAATGGCCAATGAGTAAATGAAAGGTACAGTACTGCATGTTGATATGCTGAGTCTTGGGCTCTGAACTCTAATGCTGACCTCTAATGAACTGGACAGGACAATGCAGAAGATTCCTTTTCCTTAAACTAGGAAAGTATAAACATTATGCTAAGTGAAAGAAGCCAGACATAAAAGGCCATATATTATAGGATTCCATTTATATGAAATGTCCAGAATAGGCAAATCCATAGAGGCATAAAGTAGATTAGTTGTTGCCAGGACCTGGGGATAGGGAGAATTGAGAGGTGACTGCTTGTGGGTAAGGGGCTTCTTTTTGTAGCGATGGAAATGTTCTAGAATTACATAGTGACAATGATTGCACAATACAGTGAATATACTAAAAACCACAACATTGTATACTTTTAAATGGTAAATTTTGTTACGTGAATTATATGTCAATAAAAAGAGTTTAAAATTAAATAAATAAAAAGCTCTGGTTTGGCGAGCATAATAGCCCACACCTGTAATCTCAGCACTTTGGGAGGCCGGGGTGGGCAGATCACTTGAGGTCAGGAGTTTGAGACCAGCCTGGCCAACATGGCGAAACTCCGTCTCTACTAAAAATACAAACATTAGCCAGGCATGATGGCATGCACCTGTAGTCTTAGCTACTCAGGAGGCTGAGGTATGAGAATCGCTTGAACCCAGGAGGGAGAGGTTGCAGTGAGCCAAGATTGCGCCACTGCACTTCAACCTGGGTGACAGAGCGAGACCCTGTCTCAGAAAAAAAAAAAAAAACTTTGGTTCAGAGCAAGCCATCAAAGGTATTTTGTTGTTCTTCACTTTGCCCGCTACCCCTAAACTCAGCAAAGACTCAGCTTTACCCCAATAATAGAAGGAAAGGCTAGAATCACGTCCTTCTGTCAGAATCAGGGAACAATGAAATCAAAGAAAATAAACAGTAACAACTCACAGGAAGCAGAATTAAAAAGCACAGGTTTGCTTCCAGTGTCCAAGACCAAGGTGGTCCAGGCTGGGCAGGAGCAGAAGTCTTGACTTGACTTCCAAATGGGAGGAAGAGAAGACTCCAACAGAGAGGAAGCCAGAATGAAAGCCAGATCATAAGAGCCTGCACCCTCACACAAGTGAGCAGGCCTGGCCCTCACCTGGAAGGAATAGAGACAAGAAGGATGTCTGAATGTGTTTGGCAATGCTTGTCCCTTAGAAGATATATTCTACTCAATGCCTTGTGATTAGGCAGATCCAAACCAAAATCTCTCCTCATGGAGGCAGAATATAGGAAGGAAGAAGGCAGAGATGACTTACATTTCTCAGAGTCAAAATACATGTTCTCAACTTCGAGTAAGATCAATGAAGAATACCTATGGAAAAACAAAAGGTAAAGAAATTGGGACAAACATAAAACTTACCTCCGGTATTTTCTATTATCCTCTAACCATTCTCTGTATTCAGAAAACTACTATGCCTGACTCCTGTATCAGGAAAAGTTGTTAGCTAAGAAAGCTCTGTTCTGAGTAAAAATCTATGCCCTGAGGGAAACTGATGGGATTCAGGATATATACAATGTACAAGAAAAAATATATAACAAGTCTCCAGCTCACTCCACCCCATTACTCTTCCACTAAATACTGAGTTGGAGGGAAGGAGTACAAATGGAAAGGAAAGGAGAAAAATGTAGATGCTGGCTGGTCCCTGAAAAGGACCCTAAGTTCTATCCCATTCCACTTATGAGGCACACGAGGAATGACAGAGACTTCAGAAGGATTTTGGAAAACCTAGAAAAGAGAACTGAGCTCCATTTTATAGGTTTTCTCCAGAAGATGTCTCCGAACTCTAGAAATGGCTTCCTCCTGTGTCTGGGCAGTTAGGTTCTTAGCTTCACTGTATCCCACACCCCACCATGTCTTGGAAGAAGTTGCTTGGTTCCAGGAGCAGCACACGTGTGCCTCTCAGGGCCAGTAGAAGAGAGGATCCTGCAGAAAGGGGCCTGTGTAGGCCAATGATAAGAGAACCAGAGGGGACAACTGATATCTAAGGGAATATAACCTTCAATAGACGATCAATACTCAGTCCTCATTTTACTCAAATTGCCAACATCATTGATTACAGCTTGGCATTCCTTTCCTCTTCTTCTTTTTTTTTTTTTAGATGGAGTCTTACTCTGTCGCCCAGGCTGGAGTGCAGTGGTGTGGTCTCGGCTCACTGCAACTTCCGCCTCCTGGGTTCAAGCAATTCTCCCACCTCAGCCTCCTGAATAGTTGGGAGTACAGGTGTGCACCACCATACCTGGCTAATTTTTTGTATTTTTGGTAGAGATGGGGTTTCACTATGTTGGCCAAGCTGGTCTCGAACTCCTGACCTCAGGTGATCTGCCCTCCTCGGCCTCCCAAAGTGCTGGGATTATAGGCGTGAGACACCACACCTGGCCCCTTTCTTCTTTGAGGTACTTTCTTCACCGGGTTTCTAGTTCTCCACATGTTCTGGTTCTCCTCATACTTCCCTAATCTCATCTTCTCAGTCTGAAAAGGTTCTCAGTCATGAAAACTTCCTCTTCTATTCTATCTAGAAAGCCCCAGGACTCAGTCTTCCCCTTCCTTCTCTTGTCTAGCTGGATATCTACACTTATTCCTATGTACTAAGCTATTCGTATGGCTCAAATGTCACCATATCAGAGAGGCTTCTGTAAACTGACCTATCTGAAATAGTAGCCCCCACCTGAATTCCCCTGTCTCCATACACTCTGAGCTATTTTTCTTTTCATTCACACATACATATTTAATTTTGTGGGCACATGGTAGGTATATATATTTATAGGTTACATGAGATATTTTGATACATGCATGCAATGCATAGTCATCACATTAGGGTAAACAGGGTATCCATCCTCTCAAGCGTTTATCCTTCGTTACATATAATCCAGTTATACTATTTTAGTGGTTTTAAAATGTACAATTATTTTTGACTGCAGTCACCCTGTTGTGCTAGCAAACACTAGGTCTTATTCTTTCTAACTACTTTTAGTACCCACTAACCATCGCCACATCCCCCACACTCCTACAATTTTTCCCAGCCTCTGATAATCATCCTTCTACTCTGTATCTCCATGAGTTCAATTGTTTTGATTCTTAGATTCCACAAATAAGTAAGAATATGCAACGTTTGTCTTTCTGTGCCTGGCTTATTTCACTTAACATAATAACCTCCAGCTCCATCCATGTTGTTGCAGATGGCAGGATCTCATTCTTTTTTATGGCTGAATAGTACTCCATTGTGTATATAGTGAGTTATTTTTCTTCATAGCATTTATTACCATCTAATAGCATGTACATATATATTTATACATGTAAATATATATGTGTGTGTGTGTGTGTGTGTGTGTGTGTGTGTGTATATATATTTGTTTCTGTGAAAGCACAAATTTTGTGTTTATTGCTGTAGATCAGGACCTAAAGTGGTGCCTGTCACATTATAAGTGCTTAATGAATATTTCTTGAGTGAGTAAATGAAGGAATCATGTCAGAGGACCCAAACACTTCTCCTCTGAATTCTGGAAAAAAAAAGATGGAATACAACTGATTTCCCACTATTCCTGGTAAAAAGGAACTTACATTAGAATTAAAACCAAGAAAGATCTCTGGCAAATGTGAGGTTGTGGCTTTCTAATCACAAAGAAAATTAAAGCTTAGTTGAAAGACATTTCTATAATACCAAATAGTTCCCAACTTTTTACTTTTAAAGTTCTAATATACCTATTCCCAAAAGCTTTCATCTGAATAGTGGCTAATTCTAAAATAAAATTGGGTAGTGGGAGGAGGGAGGAATCCCGTACAGACTTGGCAATTTTCTGATGAAGATGTGTAGTTTGAGAAACGCTTAATGATTTTTGAGACATCTTGCTACACTGCCTGAGGACAGTGGTTTCAGTGTTGTAAGATATCAAGTAAAAATAAAGGCACAATTAAAATATTTCAAAGTGTACAAGAAAAAAGAGAAAAAGAAATAGATGCTGGCTTAAAAAAAATAAAATTAGCCTGTAATCCCAGCACTTTGGGAGGCTGAGGCAGAAGGACTGCTTGAGCCCAGGAGTTCAAGACCAGCCTGAGCAACATAGAGGGATACCATCTCTCCAAAAATAAAAAAATAAAAAAGCCGGACATAGCGGCACACACTTGTAATCTAGGTACTTGGGAGGACAAGGCTGAGGCAGGAGAACCACTTGAGCCTGGGAGGCTGCAATGAGCTGTGATCTCACCAAAGCACTCCAGACTGGGCAATAGAGTGAGACCCTATTTCAGAAAAAAAAAGAAGAAAATTATTATGGCACTGAACAAGAAATTTCATATAATGGAGAGTTAATTCCTTTATGAAATGATTTTAAGAGGAAAAAAAGGAAAACAGCATTGGTATTAGTCTGTTATTGCACTACTATAAAGAAATACCTGAGACTGGGTAATTTATAAAGAGGTTTAATTGGCCTATGGTTCTGTAGGCTGTACAGGAAGCACAAATGCTGGCATCTGCTTGGCTTCTGGGGAAGCCTCAGGAAACTTACAATCGTGGTGGAGGGCGAAGTGGGAGTTACCACTTCACATGGCCGTAGCAGGAAGAAGAGAGGGAGGGGACAAGTGCTACACACTTTTAAACAAACCAGATATCATGAGAATTCACTCACCATCATGAGAACAGCACCAAGGGGATGGCGCTAAACCACTCATGAAGGATCCACCCCCATGATCCAATCACCTCCCACTAAGGCCCAACTCCAACATACAGGATTGCAACTGAACATGAGATTTGGGTGAGGACACAGATCCAAACCATATCAGCATCAAAAGAAGGTGGAAGTAAGAATAAATAAAGTCCACATATGGGTAAAGTTTTAATTTTAGCATGATGATGAAAGAATAAAGAAGAAATGTACATATTCATTTAATAAGTGTTTATACATCATCTACTCAGGCTCAACAGTGGGGCCAGTGCTGAGGAAACTGAGGTGCCCTCAGAGGGGTAACAATCTCACTGGGAAGGCAGACAGGTCCACAGATAATGACAATATAATATTGGGTATATATATATATATATATATGTATTTGTGTGTGTGTGTGTGTGTGTGTGTGTGTGTGTGTGTGTGTGTGTGTGTGTGTATGCACACTGTCAGTAGTATCCATCCCAGCCTTGGGAAGAAATGGATCTTGAACTTACCAGCAGAAGCTTCCCTGAAGTTAGAATACCTAGGGACAAGGAGAAGTAGCCCAACAAAAAAGGGGTGGTTAACATAGGCTGTGGATGGAGAAAAGTGGTCCACAGTACTCAACTTGGCACAAAGACCCTTTGACAAGAGAAAGTAAATTATTTGGTAGCAGAAATTTCAGTAGAGGAGCAGGCTCCTGGCCAGTCTGACACCACGGCTGAATTTCTCCTGCTGGCTGCCTGACTGCCTCCCACACCCTCAGCTGCTCTGTTTGATGGCAAATGGGAAAAAGATGAATATGCCCAGTCTTCTGACTTGAGGAGTGTTGTTGGGGTTGGTGGGGTGAAGGGTTACAAAAAGACAGAAGGAAGTATTAGGAACAGATAGATATTGGCTGTACAATCTATTTGGGATTCCTGGGGACTGGATGTGACACGTGACTTCAAGGGATGGAGGTTTAGGGGAAATCACAGGGCCCACCTAAATAAGAAAGGTAGTGTGGATACTTATCATGGTTCAAGCCAGGAAATGCTTTTGTTAGGCAAACTGAGGTTTTCCATGTAGAGGGCCTAAAGCTACAGTAGTGTAGGGAATATTCGATACTCTCAGAGGGTGTGGCATCCCCCCTCTCAGAGTGGGAAATGTAGGAGTGGACACAGTTGCCCCCTCAGCTCCCGACTATGGGCTTCCTGGATCCTCCTCCAAGCCATTCTGAGAATAATGCCTGGGAAAGGTACAGAAAGGGACCCTTTCATGGACATCCCCCTCTTTGTTTCTTGGGCAGGTGATGTCACTACGCAATAATGTTTAAATACACATGGATGTGTATTTGAATGGCTGCGACTTACAAGATTAAGAATCAATTAAATCTAAGCAAGTTCATCAAAATGAGGGACAATAATATTGCAACTGGAATAATGGAGGAAGTGTATAGTTCCTGGGAGTCCACTTTAAAGGGGAGGAAGGCACAAAGAGAATCGGGAAAATAGCAATAAACCAATGGAAACCTAATGGGGGGGACTTGGAAGTTACTATAGAAAATAGGGCATGTGTCTGGGCCCTATTACACATAATCACACTTGTAATGCCAGCACTTTAGGAGGCTGAAGGAGAGGGAATGCTTGAGTCCAGAAGTTCGAGACCACCCTAGGCAACATAGCAAGACCCCATCTCTACAAAAATTAGCCAGGCATGGTGGTGCACTCCTGTAGTCCTAACTACTCAGGAGGATTGCTTGAGCCCAGGAATTTGAGGCTGCAGTGAGCTATGATCATACCACTGCAATCCAGACTGGGTAACAGAGTGAGACCTTATCTATAAAAAAAGAAAGAAAAGAAAAGAAAGTAGGGCAAGTCCATCAAGCCTTTTCTGCCACCAGATGTCCACCAGGACATGTTTTATGGCCCTATAGAGTGAGAGGCAAACAGAAGCAGGTTTTTGTGCTTACAATAGAAGAACGAGGATTTGGAATGATGTATATAGGATTGTTTTATAGTTTAATGAGCCTCTCTTTCAGCTTTGAGGAAATAATGACAATTGTGTAGCGATAGTGGAGAAAAGATTTTTTCATGCATAAGAGCAAGATGTGAAAAAAGATACTAACTATGCTACTTCTCTGCCTTTGCTCTCTGAAACCCATATCTCCAGGCAAAACCCCTCTCCTGAATCCATACCCACAGAACCAGCCATGACCAGAGACTTCCACCTGGAGGTCACACAGCGTGATAGAATCCATAATCATCTCACTATTTTCTTGCTCACCCTTATGGCTCTTTTCCTGTGTTTCCTCCCAGAAAATACCACGATTACCTAGTTGTGTAGGCTGGAAACATAAAAACCATTGCTGTCTGACCTGTTCAATCACCACAGCCAGTCAACACCCAAGTGCTTTTCAACAGTCACTTAATGCTTATATCAGACTTAGAGAGTTCATCATTTTATAACTATTTTAAACATGAAAAAATTGAGGTTGGGAAAGTTTCAAGGTTCAAGTTACGTATGTAAGGATGGCCAAGCTAGTTATGATAAATGAATCACGGCACATGCAAAAAAGCTTCCATCATACTAAGATTAAAAGCCAAAAAAAAAAAAAAAAAAAAAAAAAAAAAAAAAGTCCTGTAAATGACTTGCAAAGCCCTCTAAGAACCAGCCCTGGTTCTTAGAGGGCTTGTCTCCTCTTCTCATATGAGCTTCTCATAGCTCCTCTTCTCAAGCTATGAGGAGTCTTCTCACAGCTTGTCTCCTATGTCTATCACCCTCCTCCTCCCTGTTCTAGAGTCTAACCATTTTGCTGCTCCAGTGAATTACACTGAAGCTTATGGCTTGGCACCTGCCAGCTCCTCTTCCCAGAAATGTCTCCTTGCTATGTCCCCGAGGCTGCTCACTCACCATTTCTTGTTTGTGTCACCACATTAGAAATACACACTCTAAATGTCCTCCTAAGAGAGAGGCTCCTACCTGGTGCTCCTAAATGTATTACTCTCCAGAGCACTCATTACCACCGAACGTCGATGCTGAGCACAGAATCATGTCTACTTTGTATCTCTAGCACCTAGAACATTCATTGCTATGGAGTTGACATTTTATAAATATTTGACAAACGTGTATTCATGCTAGCAAATGCCTCCTAGCTCCATCCCGTCTTCTCCATTCCCACTGTTCTGCCTTGGCTCAGGTCATCTCAGCTTACCAGTCTCTGGTTACTCAAATTCAATATTCATTGTTATCTAATCTTTACACTATGCCAAAGTTACCTTCCTATTATACACATGTCATGCATTTGCCTCTTCAGAGACCTTCAAAAGCCTCCACTGCCTATGGTAAAATCTGCATTTCATACTGTAGAATTCTTAGTCCTTTATCACTTTACCCTTCATTGCCTTTACAAAAAATTCCCACCAGCATTATTTTGTGATAGACACATCAAGCAGCTCACCAGTCTGCAAATATCACCGATGTTCAGATTTTTCACATTCTCTACCTACTGAAATTCTTCAAAAACCAGGACAAATGTTACCACCAGAAGAAGGACTTACGGGATAGTACTTGAAGAAAAGGAAGGAAAGAAAAAGAGTAAGTGTCCTGATCTCAGCGCAACTAAAAACTAGCCTGATGATGTGAGGATTGGAAAAAAAATATGGAAGAGGAAATAGGAAGCAGCCTAGGAACACAGTGACCATGACAGTAGTGATGTTGAAAGAAAGCAGTGTTCAGCCAGGCGCGGTGGCTCATGCCTGTAATCTCAGCACTTTGGGAGGCTGAGGAGGGCAGATCACCTGAGGTTGGGAGTTTGAGACCATCCTGACCAACATGGAGAGAACCCATCTACTAAAAATACAAAATTAGCCAGGCGTGGTGGTGCATGCCTATAATCCCAGCTACTCGGGAGGCTGAGGCAGGAGAATTGCTTGAACCCGGGAGGCGGAGGTTGCGGTAAGCCAAGATTGCGCCATGGCATTCCGGCCTGGGATGAAGAGAGACTCTGTCTAAAAATAAAAATAAAAAAGAAAGAAAGCAGTGTTCATTGGCTGTAAACTTTGTAGTTGCATTTGGTATTAGAATAATTGCTTATTTTTTCCACCTTGTTTCAAAAGGTTTAACGTTTATAATAATAGCTGTAGTTTCTCGAGTGGAACATATTCTGGTTCACGTACTAAGCTAAAATGCTTTGCATGCATTAACTTATTTAATATTCACAACTCAATGGGGAAGGTCATATCATCTTTCAGTAGAGAAGAGTGAAGTTTCAATGACTCACTCAACAGTACAACATGTAATGAAAAAATTAGTTTTTGGACCCAAGAAAATCTGAATTCATGTCTCATGCTCTTTTCTTTTGTACCACCTGACACTCTTGAAATTTGGAGGAGTGTCCTGAATAGTTCCTTTTCCTTCCCTTTCTTTTCTGGCAAGGCCATCACATCTACGGCTACACATGTTTAAATTATTATACTATACTACTAGTGTACTAGTACTATAGTAATATAAACATACTAGTAGCATGTTTTAAATTACTATACTATACTATATTACAAGGTATAGAGCCTTAAAGCCAGGCAGGTACCAGTTTTTACAATGACTGCCTGTGATTCTCTCCTTTTAAACACTCCTTTCTTCACTCAGAGTTGGTTTTAGTTCTCCTCTGTTAGCAAAAAAAAGAAATATCTGCTCTTCAGCACTGTATTCATAATACCTAACCTTTAAAGCAAAAACTCTGAAATATATACCTAGTAAAATGATTTACACGTAGGGGATGGAATATAATGAGGCCATTAGGTGAATGAGCTTTGGTGTCAGTATGCCTGTGTTCAAATCCCAGCTGTGCTATGTACTTGCTTTGAGATACAGACTAATTTTCTTCACCTTTCTAAGCCTCAGTTTCCCCATCTACAAATTAGGGACCATAATAGCACTTGTCTTACAGGGCTGTATGGATAAGTGGCAGCTGTTGGTACAGGTAGTAATAATAGTAATACTAGCAATACTACTTGTAAAACAAATGAAGTAGGGAGTTCATCTGGAAACTCCTTTCCTTCACTAAGATTCAGTCATTTCTGACTATGCTTGGTGAACTGATGATGTTATCTTAAGGAATTTATAGAGAGAAAAAGCTCACAATAAAGGAATGAGTCAGGTGGATGAGTGTATTCGTCCATTAATGTTGCTTTAAAGAAATATCCGAGGCTGGGTAATTTATAAAGAAAAGAGGTTTCTTTTGGCTCACATTTCTGCAGGCTGTATGAGAAGCATGGTGCCAGCATCTGCTTGTGTTGAGGGCCTCAGGAAGCTTACAGTCATGATGGAAGGCAAAGGGGGAGCCGATGTGTCACATGGTGAGAGGGAACAAGGGAGAGAGGGAGGAGGTGGCAGCCTCTTTTAAACAACTAGACCATGTATGAACTGGTAGAGTGAGAGCTCACTCATTATTATGAGGAGGGCACCACACCATTCATAAGGGATCCACCCCCATGACCCAAACACCTCCCAATAGGTCCCATCTCCAACTTTGGGGATCACATTTTGACAAACTATAAACCTCCAAACTATATCAACAGGCCTTAATCATTGGATGGGGCAACCTGAAGATGAATTTCTTATAAACTTAGATTTATCTTGAGTCAGTATTCCTCACAACTTTCAATCTATAGCCAATGAACTTGTGATTGGTGGGAGTGGTGGGCTATATGAAAAATCTAAAAAGAGAGTGTGTTTTCAAAATACTATGAGACACTGAGGCATGAGCAGTACTAGTAGCCAAGAGTAATGGGAAAAGGGAAGAATGGTTTTCTCCCAGCAGTGCTATAACACACTATGTAACTTTAGTGCCTCAAAGACTCCACTGCATCAGTGGTAAAGGAGCTAGTGTTAGCAAAAAAATCAAATACTCATGAGGAGAGCAGCATCTGGCAGATCTAGGGCACCCACTGAGCAGAGAGGAGGCTGGTGCAAAAAGAAAATATCTTTAAGTAGGAGGCAACTGAGAACAATGAGGTACTCTTTGGAGACTCTTAGAGATGGACTCTGAGGACTTTGCAGGAAGCTGGAGATCCTCAAATAGTGGGAGTATGAGTGGTGAAATGTTATTGGATAATAGCCAGGGAAACCTAGTCTAGCAAACTCCATGTGAAAGAACCTAAGCTAGCCCAGATGGTGGCGATTGTGAAAAAAAAAAAAAAAAAAAAAAAAAAAAAAAAAGCCACAAATTCCTTCTCATCCATTTGTAATACGACTTGCAGCTCCTCCCATCTGAGATGGAGTTTATTTTTTTCACTGCTTAAGCCTAGACTTGGCCATGTTACCCGCTTTGGCCAGTGGCACATTAGCAAACGTAATGAAGGGACTTGAAAAGTGCTTACAATGGAAATAGCCCTCTTCTGTTAATCTTGGAAACCCTGCAACAACCACCATGTGAAACAGCCTAGACTAGCTCAGTTGCTAGCCCCTGCCAATAACCAACAGGGAACCAAATTGTGAGTGAGGATGCTGGCTGCCAGCTGGCTACAAAAGCATTACTGAGCCCAGCCGCCACTAACTGCAACAGAGATGAGCTGTCGTAGCTGAACCCAGCCCAGCACAAATTGCAGACCCACCGAATTGTGAGCTAAATAAGGGTTGTTGTTTTAAATCCCTAACTTTGGGGTAATATTGACATCTATCTACCCATCCATTTCTTCTTTACCTTTTTCTCCAAAAGAATATGAGGTGGTTTACAGCAAAGGACTGAACACTCAGTAAAGTTAATATCATAGAAATAGTAAAAGATAGAGAAAGCATATATGTCAGTCCCAAGGTCTATGTGATTTTGGTTGATTGGTATTATATTCAACTCTGAACTTCCTGGAACCTAAAAAAAAAAAAGTGAACCATTTATATATGAGTTACATAAAGATAAGTCAACCATAAAGTTCTAGTTACTATGCTGTGTTAGCTTAGTAGGCTGCTATAACCATGTACTATAGGCTGGTGTTTAAATAATTTATTTCTCACAGTTCTGGGGGCTGGAGGTCTGAGAAGGGGTGCCAGCATGGTCAGTTTCTGGTGAGGGCCCTCTTCCTGGTTGTAGAGCACCAAGTTCTCACATTCTCACATGGTGGAAAGCGAGATTAGCTTCCAAAGGCTCCCCACCTCTTACTACCATCATATGGGGTGGTCTCACTCTGTCACCCAGGCTGAAGTGCAGTGGTGCCATCATGGCTCACTGCAGCCTGGACAACCCGGACTCAAGTGATCCTCACACCTCAGCCTCCCAAGTAGTAGGGACTATAGATGTGCACACCACACCCAGCTAATTTTTGAAATATTTTGTAGAGATGAGGTCTCACTAAGTTGCCCAGGCTGTTCTTAAACTCCTAGCCTCAAGTAATTCTCTCACCTCAGCCTCCCAAAGTGCTTGGATTAAAGGGGTGAGCCACCATGCCCAGCCAACATATGATTTCTAAGAGACACAAATATTCAGTCCATAACATAGTGGTAAGCACTTTATACACATTGCTCATTATTAACAGCTCTGTGAGCTAGACATTATTATTCCTATTTTGTGGATAAGGAAACTGAAGACAAGATATTTCTCTACTCAGCTAATACTTGGGGAACTAAAATTTGATTTGAGGACTGTTTAAATTTCTGATTCTAAAATCCATGCCCTTTCCAACTCACGACAACGATTCTCTAAAATTTTATATAGGGGACAATAAGAATACCCTGAATATCTGAAATGTCTCTTCTCTTCATACAATTCACTACTGCACTGTATGAAGTTCAGGATTTCAACATTTCCTACATAAACTGTTGGGCTCACCCTATAACCAGTTTGTCTCAGTCCAGTGTCATCCCTTCCTACCTATCTTCTAAACTTCTTCAGAAATGACCTTTGTATAATTAAAATACATATAATTGTGCCTAGCTCCTGAATAAAATTTTTCAATGACTCCCTATTATCTCGAAGATCACATACCTCTATCCATGTTTGGAATCTCATTTCCCGCTACTCACCACTCGGCTTTCTCTATTCTCCAGCCACACTGATCTACTTAACCATCCTTGAGTAGTCAACATTAGTGTGCCTTCATGCTCTGCATTCCAAATTCCTTTTATCATTCCTCATTGTCTGCGCCCTCTCAAGTCTTCCCACTTAATACTGCTTCTTCAAGACAGTTCAAACATGCCTGAACTTCCCAGGCTGATTTAGGCCACCCATGGCACCCTTAATGTGCTTCTATTAAAACTCTTACTATATATCACAGCATACTTTCTTGCATAAGAGTGTGTTTTATTCATCAGTTTGTCCCTAGCACTTAACTCAGTGCCTGGCATAGAGTACTCAATAGATATTTGTTAAGAGAAAAAGTAACTGTCTTCAACAACAGTATTCCCACAAATGTGCAGTCTCCATACAGCTGATTCGAAGAACCTCAATCCCTCTGAAAAGTCTGGGCCTAATTACATTAAATATAGAAGTGATCCTATGATCTCAAATGTATAGCCTTTCAAGATCAAATACAAAAAGAATAGACTTTAGAACACCTGGGTGGATAGAAGGAAGGATTGATTTATTCCTCAAAAGCTTTCAAAAGAAGGAAAAGAGGGTAGGAGGGAGAAAGGGAGGGAAGATGGATTCCTTTCAGCTTTGAGCACTTCCTCTGAACTGGTAAAGCCACCTTCGCCCCTTCAAGATCATCATGCTCCTCCACCCTACCCCGCAACGCTGCAAAGCTGCCTCTTCTGCTAGGGCCACTCTCCCAGGCAATTCTAATGCCACACTTTCCATTTAGAGTCACAACCCCTAGTGAGGTGCCACAGAGAATTGTGGAAGACATACAATTAAAGGGGAGAACAAAGAATTCAGGGAGAGATAGGGAATTGTGGGAAAGAATGGAGCCTTGTTGGAGAAAGCAGAGAATTCTGGGAAGAGCAAAGAGAACTGTGGGAGACCATAGAGGTTCACTGGATTATGGAGGATTGTGAGAGGGCACAGAAATTGTGGGAGGACATGGAGGACTGCAAGAGCAGGGAGGGTTGTGGAAGGGCAGAGAAGGCTGTGGGAGAGCACTGAGGATGGTGGGAGAAAACTGGATTATGGAAGAGAACGAGATTGTGGGAGAGCACAGGATTGTGGGAGGAAACAGAATTGTGGGTGAGAACAGAACACTGTGAGATAGTGAATTGTAGGAAAGAAAGTACGATGAGATAGAGAATTCACCCTGTGCTCTTCCACCCGCTTTTCTATTGGGTCCGCCCCTGTCAGGTCTGGCGGCGCCCTCACGGTCTGGCAGAGCCCTGCCCCTCTCTCCGAGGCCACACCATGTTTGCTCCTTCGTGACCACGTCCCCTCCTGCCCCACAACGCCTCTCCTGCTGGAGCCACATTTGCAGTTATTGATGGGCCTGCTGCTGTACTCCATCACAGTCACTAAGAATTGTGGGAGAGTCATGCAATTATGAGAGGGAACAGGGGCTTCTGGAAGACTGTGGAAGAAGCAGGGACTTTTTGGAGAGACAAAGGAATGTGGTAGACACATAAGTCAGTGGCCTTCTGTGTTTCGTGTGGTTCCTCCTGCGGAAGCCATATCTGGTCCATTATGACTACGCCCCTGTGCTCCGTCTGGGTCACCATCCCTCAAAGCCACCCACCCCTCTACAATCTGGCTTGGGCCATGACTTCACTAAGCCCCTGCGCTTCTTCATGGCAACGCCCTGAAACCAGGCCCTTTGGCTCCACAGAGCCACGCTTTTCCTGGCAGGGCCACAACTACCCACACCACCATGACCCTCTTTTCCAGGCCAAACCTCTGCGCTCTGCCTTGGCCCTACCACCACCACCAGGACAAAGCTGCTTTTGTTCTCCTTGTCACTCCTTACCTCCCATTGCATTCTCGTGGCCAGACTGGAGCCTCTGAGCTCAGCTGTGTGCAGGGTCCTGCTCCTAGGGCCGTACTCTCTGTGCTGTCGTAACAACGCCTTCTCTGACAGGCCACACCTCTGTGCTCCGCCTCCACCACTCCCCTACCCGCTGGGAGGGGGCAAATGTGCTTTGGCTTTAGCACATCCCCCTCAGGCACCCTCCATTTCTCTCCCTCCAAGGTCTCCTCCCTGACTGGCCCCTATGCTCTTCCATGTCACGCCTGTCCCCACAGCTACGCCCTATTCACTCTGATTGCTTCTCTAAATCGGCCACGCCCCCTCCCTAATTTCTGCCTCGCTTCTCTTCACCTGGGCCGTCCACTTCCCTTTGCCCAGACCTCGCCCAGGCACTTCACCTGCCGCTTGCAATGGGCCATGACCACGCCCATCCTGTCCCAGCCAAGCTGGGGGCTGTATTTCTCTGCACCTCTGCTACATGTGGGCCACGCCCCATTTTCGGAAACCCAGGATGTGGGATTTGGGAGATTGGGGTTAAACCCGCCCTGCCCCTAGAGTTTGGCTCCAGTGGCATTTGTAAAAAATGAGGCTTATGGAGCCATGATCCTCATCGAAAAAAAACTTTCTTTAGGGTTTCTCCCAGCTCCAAACGCCCCTACTTGAAGGATGACCCAGTGATGCAGTGAGGAAAGTGAGGAAACAGCTGGTGGATGAGTCGTTGAAACATATTCCTTCCAGCCAATTTTCATGTCTGATTTTCTTCCAGCCAGGTTTCCTGTCCTCGAACCCAACCTTTGGGCTGTGTTTCTTCTCAGCCGACCTTAAATCTATGCACCTGAATGGAGAAAGAACACTCCTCCACTTCCTAATGTCTCCTCCCAGTGACCTTTCCTAGGCACCCAGTTCCCTCTTGCTATCTAGGGACTGGCAAGACACCACCACACTTAGAGCAATTCTCTGGTTGGCAGCCCTCTGCTCTGAAAGTACTCTGCTATTCTTATTCCTTCCATTGACAACTCTTGAGTTCACAAGAAAAAGGAGAAGAGGTTATAACTAGCTCTCTTCCTTGTTCAGAAATCTCTGAACAGACCTTCCTGGGGAGAGGACACTTTCCATTAGCCAGTCAGTTATTCATTCAAAACCATATTTATCAAGTACTGTGCATGTTCTGGGGACTAATAAGAGAAGCTTCAAGAAGCTTATAGCCTAAAGTTGCTGACTTGCATTTTTGGTTTTGTTTTGTTTTCTTTTGGTTTTCTTTTCTTTTTTTTTTTTTTTTTTTGACAGAGTCTCGCTCTGTCACCCAGGCTGGAGTGCATGGCGCGATCTCAGCTCACTGCACCTCCATCTCCCGGTTCAAGCGATTCTCGTGCCTCAGCCTCCCGAGTAGCTGGGATTACAGGTGCGAGCCACCACGCCCCGCTAATTTTTGTATTTTTAGTAGAGAGGGGGGTTTCACCATGTTGGTCAGGATGGTCTCAATCTCCTGACCTCAAGTGATCTGCCCGCCTTGGCCTCCCAAACTGCTAGGATTATAGGCATGAGCCACCGCTCCTGGCTGCCCACTTGCATTTTCATAGAACAAGAAATGCCTAGAAAGTTAAGAAAGGTGTGGTAAGGGGTTTATAGGTGGGAAAGGACTTGGTAATCACAGGTTTTCTTGATCCAATTAGTAGGGCTTTTTGGATAACAAACATAGGAAGTCACTTTTGTAGTACTTACTATAGTCCTTTACACAAAAACTTCTCAATCTTCATTGAATGTAAAAAAGAAAAAGAGGCAGAAGCAGCTTTCAGCTTTGATGAAGAAACGATTAGTTGTGAAGTCTGTCACAAGCGTATTGGCAACAAAAGTTCCAAAAATTGAAAACAAATTACTTTAAAAATAAATCAAAGTGGATTCAAGATTATTACCACTATTATAATGATGCTTTCAATCATTTGATTTGTTAATCAGAGACAGGAAGGGGTATAATTTCAGGCTATGGGTGGGAATTGAACTGTATACTGTCATGGGAGAATATCAGGAAGGCGAATGAATCTCATCCATCACGTGCATTCAGGTCGGAAAAAACTTGAGAATTCTGTCTTAGACGATCTTCTCCATCATTTCTCTCATTCAGGTATTTAACAGGACTATATGGATGACCACTGGAAGTTACTGTCTCTGAAAAGAGTGTTTCATACTGAGGCTGGCTCCACATGCTCTGGGAACTGGAAGACCATGTAAAAAGTTAATATTCTACCTTCAAGCTAAGAAGGTAGATTTGCACTCACTTTGCATATTAGTTTTCTAGGGCTACATAACAAAATCTTGCAAACTTCGTGGCTTAGAATGACACAAATTTATTATTTCACAGTGTCTGTGGGTCTGCAGTCCAGATATGGTTTACCCAGGTCCTCTGCTCAGGGGCTCCCCAGGCTGAAATGAAGGTGTCAGCCAGGGCTGTGATATTATTAGAGGCTCAGGGTCCTCTTCCAAACCCACTGGCAGAATTCAGGACCTTATGGTTTTAGTACTGAGGCATTTAGCAACTAGAACCCCCTTCCCACACTGTTCCCTGCCATGTGTCCTTCTCCACAACATGACAGTTTGCTTCGTTAAGGCCAGTAGAAAAATCTCTCTGGCTTATTTTAAGAGCTCACCTAGTAAGATCATGCCCTGCCAGGCTAATCTCTCTAATTTACAGTCAACTGATTGAATTATATCTGAAAAATTCCTTCACGGTAGTGCCTAGATTATTGTTTGACTGTATAACTGGGATAATGTGTATATACCAGTGGTAAGAAGTCCTTAGGGCCATTTTGAGAATTCTGCCTTCCACATTTGAGACGGAAAACGTTTTCCTGTTTTAATATTTGTCACTACTGTGTTGCTACTGAAATTCTTGAGAATCTAAGAACTGCCTTTCGCAATCTTTATTTTGGGGTAAAAATTATCTTTACAAAACTAGTACAGAGAATAGCTACCTCTTCTTGGCCACTTGGATATATTTAACATCAAAGGAACTTTTCTTTCTTTAATAGATGTTCTATCATAGTAAGACTGTGGAGAGTCGTGTGGGAAAATAAGACTAGTTAGATGCAAGAAATGTAGATCATGAAAGAGACTCCACAAGTAGAGGTCAAGGTACCATTCATTAAGAAAAGATTTTGTTGAATAGCCAGTCACCTGGATTAAATTAAGTCCATTTCCTTGGATACAGGCGCCTGGACTCTGACAACCAATTTGTTGTAGAATCCCTCTGTGCCTTTTCAGTAACCCACAGAAAATTTGGTATTCAATACTTTGAGTCCATAAATCCATTAAAAAAATAAGAACGCACATTACTCTCTGGGAGGTCTGTTTGTTCTAATGCGCAAAGAATAAAATAATTATCTCACACAATGCTGCAGGTGTAGCATGTAAGAGCAACTTCAATAACTGTGTGTGCAACTGATAATAGGTCTCCAGTGAAAGAACAGTTTTAGATCTCCCTTTTCTCACAGTTTCTTTTCTTATAAAGTAGCTGATGCCAAAATGAGCTCAATTGCTCATTTTGGGGGCCTTCAAACGCTGCAGTCATATTATTGGGCCTTTTGTTTAATATATTCTATCCATAAGCTGCTGGCTGATCTATTCAGAGAGCTCAAACCTTTGTGTCTGCCCTTGGGAATAGATGCATGGCCTCAGTTTTGAGTCAGGAAGTGCAGTTTCTCATCTTGAGTCTGCCTCTGACTTACACTCAATTGCTTTGGTTCCATTTTTAAATGCCAATAAAGCTGAAAATGTCAGTACTATTCCAAAAATAAATTTGTTTTTGTCCACGAGTAATTGTGAAGTCATTGTATAAGGAACTATGAAGTCTAGTTCAGTAGTGTTATTCAAAGATGCATCTGTGTGTCTGATGTTGTGAGACATACAGAAATGGATTCCTTTGCAAACGATTATCTTGTCAATAGTTTACAAAATGCCAGCTGTTCAAGTAAAAAACAAAACAAAACAAACTTGGCTCTGGACTTGAAAAAAATTAAAAACAGAAGGTTAATTTTAAAAATGAAAACACTTTTATTGGGTTAACCAACACGTAAATTGAAAAACAATAAAATTAATTAAAAACACTTGAGTTCTAGAAACACCGTTGCTAACTGTCTTACTGCTTCTCCCCAGCCCTCAGCAGATGACTTGCTGAGAAAATGGACCACCCCAGGCAGAATCTCTTCATTCTCACTTCCCAAACCTTTACTGCACACTTACCTCCAGGTGCCCCATGAATGGCTATTTGAATGAATGAATGCAGTTCCCTATTTTTTTTGACTCTTTGACCCTTGTCAAGTAGAAGAAATGCTCTCCTCTTGCTGAACTAAATCTTCTGGAGACTAAATCTTCCACCTGTGCTTTGGCTGCGTTCTCCAAAGCAGTTCTTGTGTCCTCCCACATTAGGAACCTGGCTTCATCAGTCAGTCCTTCTCTTGTATAACTTCTATCTCTCTTGGATCTCTCCATTTTTCTATTAACATGTAACATGTTTCAGCTCTCTTTTCTCTGATTTATGTGTGTGTGTCTGTGTACACACATACACATACTTAGTACACATCCACACACGTCACAATTTATTTAGACGTTTCCTTGTTATAAGCATTTTGTTTGCTTGCTCTTACAAACATGTCCTTGTCTTCTTGCACACATGTGTGACAGTTTCTTAGGACATCAGTCCTCAAAGATTCTAGCCCAGACCTATTAAAATAGAATTTCCAGAGCTGTTTCTTAAAGCCTCACAGGTAATTCTAATGAGCAGCTTCAGCTGAGAGCTGCAGCTCTAGGGTAAATGAGAAGTAGAATATATGGGTAAGAGGCTGTGTATATTTTGAACTTTGTTAGATGTCGCACAATTACTCCCCAATAGTTATACCTATTTTCTTTTCCATAGTAAGAAGGATTTTTGTTTTCGGCTTACTTGATACCATGTGGTATTGTCAGACTTTTTTTTTTTATTCTTCCCAATCCGGGTGTAAACTTGTGTTTTATATTTTTATTCTGATTTACCCCCAATTACTGGTGAAGAACAATGTCTTTTAATATATGTTTTTTCATTCTGTTTTTTCCTCTGTAAATTGCCTGTTCACACATCTTGTCTATTTTTCTGTTGGTGTGTTTGTCTTTTTCTTATTGATTTATAGGTGATGTTTAAAATACGTCTGTATAATAATTTCTGTCTATATGTAGAAAATATATTTTCCCAGTCTATTGTTAGTCTTTTAAATTTGTGGATTCTTCAGTGAAATTATTTGTATTCAGTTTCCATGTCTACTATTTGTGATAAATTTTTCATTTTTTTAGAACTGGAATTGACTATTATTAGGCTTTTTTTTTCCTTCATGTGGATTTCAGTACCAATTTATGAAGTCTAGTGAGAAAATTATGTTGGGATTCTGTAACTGCATTGAGTTGGTAGACTAATTGGCATCTTTAAGCTATTGAGTCTTCCCTTTTTTGAAAATGGGGGTATCTTTCCATTTATGTAAGTCTTCTTTCATATCTTTCAGTAACGTTCTTAAACATCTTCATAATGATCCTTCACATCATTTTAATATCCTTTTAAAATTTATTCCTTGATATCTATTTAGAGCTTTTATTGCTATTGTAAATTGGATCTTTCCATTATGATTTTTACTTGGTTATTACTGATGTCAAACAAGAATATTGATTTTTACATGTTGGTACTTATCAAGTAATCTTATAAAGTTGTAGTGACTCTAGAATGTCTTGGCTTTTTATGTATACAATTTTATTGACTGCAAATGAGAATTTTGTTTCTTTACTTTTCTAATCCTTATATCTCATGTCTTTTTCTTGTTTGTTTGTTAACTGTTTAACTGTTTGGAATGTTGACTAGAACAGTGTGTAAGGACACTGTGATGTGTCACCCAGATCCCCCTTTAAGGACAGGCTTGTTTCCCCAGCTGCTGGGAGCACTGTCAGCAGACAGTCTTCAGCTTGTATCCCCCTTCAGGGATTGCCTTTGCTGCAGAGAGCCACTTTGTGCACGGTCACACCTTCCCTGGGCTGGCCCACATCAATGATGAAAGATCTTGGCCCAGCTTTGGGACAACTCCAAAGAGCCATTCTAGCTCCTTATCTCCCCTGGGTTGGCTGAAGCTATTGTTGGACCTGCTTTACAGTTCAACTTTTCCCTTGCCCAATCCTGCTTCCTTCTTTATCTTCCGATTGGTGTTGATCCAAGGACACTTCTTAATAAATCCTCTGCAAGCTAAACTCCATTTCAGAGCCTGCTTCCTAAAGCACCAACTATGATGTAACAACTCCGGGCATCTTTGAGCTTTGTAGAGAATGCCTTGCTAGCAATCAGAGTTTGAGATCCAAGCAAGTGAGAATTTCTCTGGGTTGTTTGAGCGGAATGTAACCCCCATGGATGTGAGGATGTTCATCTGTTTTATTTACTAATGTACTACATGTACGTATAAAGGAAAAAAAATACATTGAAGGGATATAGGACCACTTAGAAATGACAGGGAACGTCAGAGACATAGGCTTGGAAGAGGAGAAAAAAATCAAGGGAGACTTGAAAGTCATGACCATAGCCAAACTCAAATACCTGACACGGACTCTGCTGCTGCAATGAGTATCTCCTTGTACCACTGCCACTGAACACCACGTGGTGCTACCTCCCCTGCTGAAAGGAATCCTCTACAGTCCTTTTTGATTCATCTCATTTTCTTCAGAATCAAAATCCAGAAGGGAATGGCATGGTGGTCCTAATCCTGGCAGCCAGGGCATGGATCGCTTCAACTTTGGAAGTGGAAGAGGGGCTCTGTCCCTCCCCAGGATTTTTGAAATCAAGAGCTTCTCAAATAGCAAGAAAAGTTGAAATGCTGGGCAGCAAAAAACATGAAAAATATCCATTGCAGCTTCTAAAATTGTACTTTTAGGCAGCTTTGTGCTGGTAAACACTTAACAATTGGCACTCCAGAAGAAAGAAGCATTGATGTGTAGCATTTGCCAATTTCTGGGGTGAAAATACTCCTACCGTGGCTAATTTCAAGCTACCAATGTGATGTTTCTTCACACAGAATTGGTAAGATATGGAAGCTGTCCTCTCATAAGCCATCATGAACTGGCTCCAGAACACCACTGCAATAGTATAATGATTGTAAGAAATTCTAGTTCTTTTTTTTCTAAAAAAAAAAATGAAAAAAATAAAAAAGAAATCCCACATTCCCCTTAAGTCACTGCCTGTCACAGCTGATGGACATGGAAAGATTCTCTATACCTGCAAGCTGCACGACCTCAAATCATTCATCTCTCACCTCTACTTTAAATCTATCCACTTCAATATGTATTATCCAATTAGGATATGTTGGCCAAATTTCCTGAACAATTTCCTGCACTTAAATTGTGTTCTGCAACATTCTCTACCATGAACTTCTGTTGTCCTTCATGAAACTCCTCCGTTAGCACCTGCAACACCACATTCTCCTGTGTTCTGATTCTCTACCTGGCCCTTCTTGGTCTCTTTTATGAATATCCCATTTTCTGGAGCTCCCCATGAATGCTGGGATTCTCCACAGATCTTTCTTGGCCTCTTTTCACACTCAACATCACTATCTATAAAGTAGACTCTTCATTCTAAATTTCCAGCGCTGTTCTTTACATTGAGGTTAGATTTATATAAGTAGTTCAAACTGCTGTTGGAAAATTTTGTCTGAAAGTCTCCTAGACATTTCAAACTTGACATGCTTAAAATGGAACCCATTGTCTTCCACCCAGCTTACTCCCTTGCTCCATCCCCACCTTTTCCTCTCACCCCAGCCAAAACCTTTCACTCCTGTGTTTCTTATAAAAGCTAGAAACATATGAGCAATCTTCAAGTCCTATCTTTCTTTAACTCACATAAAATTATTACCTAGTCTTATAGATTCTTCCATTTGCAATGCCATGGCTTAAGATGAAACCACCATTCACTTAAAAAATGTAGTATCTTCCTCATTGGCTTTCTTGCCGCACTACAAGTTATTGACTCCAAGACCCAAGTGTTCTTTTCAAAGTCACTTCTGATATTACCACCTTTCGACTAAAAATCTTTCAATGATACCCAACAGTTCCTAGGAAGAAAAAATACTTTACCAAGACATTCATGGTCTACGTTGCTCTTTATGATTTACTCCTGAGCATTCATTGCCAATCCTAGCTTCCTACTGTATAGCAGTAAAGTGGTTTTAGGAATTGGCCCTTGCTTCAGAGGCAGCTCCTGCTTAGTCCAGAAAATCATGTTATGCCCCTTGTCAATGATTGATTTGGGAAACCTGGGCTGAGACAATTAATGCTGAGCATTTGCCTGGAGACATTTACTGGTGGAGCCGTGGATGTGGTATCTAAGTTGAGCCAATCTAAGACCGAAATGAGGAAGTTTATTCCATGAATAAGAGCGTTCTCTCTTTTCATGTTGAGGTAAACAACAGCAACAAAAATGTGGCCTTGAGTATTCCTGGCCACCACCTTAATAAGCTAAAATTGATGCTGTGGAAGGCAAAGCCGAATGACAAACCAACCAAGACTGAACATGTCATGACTTACCTTATTTTTTAAAACTGATTTGAAATTATTCTGAACATTATCAGGCTCTTCATGATACAGTTTCATCTTCCTCTCTCCTTATTTGGCCTCTTGCTCTCAAAGTGTTGTCTGCGGAGCAGCAGCATGGATCATCAAAGAATTGGTTAGAAACACAAACCTCAGGCCCACCCTAGACCTACTGAATCAGAATCTGCATATTAGTAAGATCCCTAGGTGATCATATGCACATTAGAATTTGAGAAGCATTTGACTGGGGGGTTCTTAAAATTGTGGTTCCCAGACCAGCAGCATCAGCATCACCTGGAAATTTATTAGGAATACAAATGCTTAGGCCCCACCCAAGACCTGCCAAATCAGAACCTCTGCGAGTAGGGTCCAGCAATCTATGTTTTGATGGCTCTGTGATTTTTCCTCCAATACTGTGGATAGGATTTGCATTTTTAGTTGATGCTGATATTACCTGTTCCTAGGCTATTCTTTGGTATCTACTGCCCTACACTACTGGTTCCTAAAGTTGGCTGCATATTAAAGTCAGCCAGAGAGCTTTAGAAATGACTGATATCTGCATCACACCTCTAGATAATTCTGACTTGATATGGAGTATGACCTGGGCATTGGAGAGTTTTCAGAGCGCCTCAGATTATTCTAATTTTCTCCAATTTAAGGCCATTGATCTATACTCTAGTCATTACTAGATTGCTTTTGCTGTTTCTCTAGAGCCATAGAGCTTTCAGTCTTTTTCTACACCAATCCATTTGTTTTTCCCCTCTCACCTTTCCCATCCCTTGACTGATCCGTATTTGCCTTTGATGAGTCAGTACAGGAGTCACCTATTGCCAATACTTTCCCCTGTTGGCCAAATTTAGATTAAGTACCCATCACCTCCATCATCTACTTATGTGATATACAAGGCTGTTCTCATGTTGTATTCTGCTTTATTTCTTAGGAACTGCCTTCCTCATAGGATTACAGTTTTTTTTTTCTTTTTAGTGTGGTAAGTCAGTCATATACACTATTTCATTTCTTGTGTCTAAACAAGGCCTGCTTAAAAAAAATGGGTGCTCAATAAGTATTTGTTGAATAAATGCATTATGACAGAAATTATGTTTTTTACTTCTTGATTGTCCTTCTGTCTGATAAATATACTAGCTTCTAAAAAAAATACTTGCCTGGTGCCCTGAAGTACATCTATAGTTCCAGGTAATCAGGAGGTTGAGGCAGGAGGATCCTTGAACCCAGGAGTTCAAGGCCCACTTGGGCAACATTGTGAGACCTATCTCTATTTTTTAAAAAATAAACATCTAACCTTTCATAATTGTTCTTAAAGGAATTCCTTTAATTTTAAACACCCCAATAAAACTGGAAAATGCCATATATGTAGGAAATTAAAGCTAGGTAAACTTAGTTAATGCCACTGATTTACTACTGAGTAAGAACAGCACGTTGTATAAATTGAGCTATTTTTCACTGGGGCCAGAATGTGGATTTGACTAAGATTGGATTGCTAGGATGACTATATATAGCATCAATGTGATTAAGAGCCTGGTCTTCGGAGTAGACAATTCAGCTTTGCCACTTACTCATCGTGCGTCTCTAGGTAGCTGCTCGACTTCTTTGAACCTCAATATTGTTACCTCTAAGATCCACATTGTAATGTCTTCCTCACAGAGATATGTAAGGCTTAGATGAGACAATGCTTATCAGGCAAGTAGCACCATATGTGGGATGTGTAAGTGCCCCATGTCTGGGAACCAGGAGCTATTAGGGTATTTCCAAATTCCACTTAGACTTTACCTCCATCTTTGGTAAAGTTTAAGTAGGTACAGTTTACCGCCATCTTTGCTGATCTAATTCTTTTAAAAAATATAAGCATGGGAGCCTTTGCATTTTATATTTAACTCCTGATTATCCAGGGGCAAAAACAGAAAGAAACTGTCTCCAGACCTACTCCCTCCCTGCCACCCACACAAACCTCTGCTTTTACAGCTATTAGTTTCATTTCTTTCCCCAGAACAATAGCTACTTTCCAAAGTAATGAAAACCCCAAAAAGATGGCCGAAAGGAACAGAAGGTTCAGAGGGCTAATCTGTGGATAACTGGCTCATAGGCAGCAAATTATTCATTCTAATCGAGAGTTTCGGGAATGCAGGCCTCCATAGCAGATGCCAAGCTGAGCAAGAGGAAAGAAATCACACAATTTCCCTGGAGGTTGAGTTGAGGCCCACAGCTATAAAATATAGCCTTTTGTGTGCTGAATGCTGAACCGGGACACATTAAGACAAGAGATGTTTATTTATAGGCATCAATAAAGTGAAAGCATAAGCCATATGAACAGAATTGGGCTGGTCAAGGACAGTTAATTCCTGCAAATACCTTGTTACTCATTGAATGTAAATGATCTACTTCTGCATTTTATCATGTTTACACAGTGATATTCTGTGGTGGCTGCTTCCAGGTTTATGTGTGTTTTTAATCTGGGAAAGTCCAGGGTTTATTCAACTCTTATGATGAATGAAAGGTCATTGGTAAAAATCAGGAACCAATCTAAACTGAAAAGATAGCAAGTCTGGCCAAAAGTGTATTAACTTATTTCAATAGTTTCTTTAGAAATCTATCATCTTGACATAAGAAATGGCTTCTCACATTGCAAATAAAAGATCAGAATTGTTTTGGCTATTCAAGGTCTCTCATGGTTTTATATGAATTTAGGATTGTTTTTTCCACTTATGTGAAAAATTTGATTGGAATTTTGATAGGGATTGCACTGAATCTGTAGATCACTTTGGGTAGTATGGACATTTTCACAATATTAATTCTTCCAATCCATGAACACAAAACATCTTTCCATTTGTGTTTTATTCAGTTTCTTCCGTCAGTGTTTTAGAGTTTTCAGTATATCACTTCCTTTGTTAAATTTGTCGATTAAAAATAGCAGATATTTTGATTAAATAAGCATCAACAACACCCCCAAATGGTGCCTTCTGCTTTCATTCGAGTCACAAAGGGTACTTTTGCACAGATGTGCCAGGTGAAAGGGAGTAAAGTGAGAGAGAAATAAGCAGAACTCCAAACTGTAGGTACCATATTTTATTTAAATGATCTATTGACCAATGAAGTAGTTACTGTGCATTAGCCACATTTTACAGATAAAGAACTAGAGAATCAACAAGCTTGACTTATTTACCTAAGACCAACAAAGTTAGTAAGCCACAGGGTGGGGCACCAAACCTTGGTGTATTAGCCTAGTTGAATCCTGAGCCTCCCTCTACAATAATATTTTTATGTTTCTTAGAAGAAAAAATGTTGTGTGTGTGAGAGTGTGTGTTTTCTTTCTTAATTATTATTATTTTTTGAGACAGACTTTTGCTCTTGTTGCCCAGGCTGGAGTGCAGTGGCAAGATCTCAGCTCACTGCAAACTCCGCCTCCCAGTTTTAAGCGATTCTCCTGCCTCAGCCTCTGGAGTAGCTGGGTTTACAGGCATGTGCCACCACACTCGGCTGATTTTGCATTTTTAATAGAGACAGGGTTTCTCCAAGTTGGTCAGGCTGGTCTCGAACTCCCGACCTCAGGTGATCTGCCCGCCTCGGCCTCCCAAAATGCTGGGATTACAGGCGTGAGCCACCATGCCCAGCCGTGTTTTCTTTATTGTACAACTCAACAACTGTAATAGATGAGTTCTTTAGCATATAGTGGTTAAAACATGGGCGAAGTGCTGGGCCCACCTGCTCGTCATGTGACCTTTGACGTATTTGTTTAACTTTGTGGACACCGGCTTCCTTATCTGTAAGCGGCAATAATATTGATAGCAGGATTGTTGAGCAGATAAAAGTAATTATAATAAGGTAAAGCTCAAAGCATAGTGCTTGGTATATGATAAATGCCTCCAAAATGTTGGCTCTTGTTTGTAAGTGCATTTGTCACTTAAGGCTTGGGGTAAGGTGCATATAAAGGATACAAAGATGAAAAAGACAAGATTATTATTCTTGAGGAAACTGGCAAGAAAAGAGAAGGGCATAGAGATTTTAGATATGGCATAGGGGTTTTATTTAATGTAGGAAGAGATATTTGGGGGGGACTGAATTTTTGTATACCAAATAAATTTGTGCTTTACATACCTGAAAAGTAATCATTTGCTATGAATTTCTACACTGTGAAAATTCACCCTACTGAATTCCAGCTCAATAATATTATTACACCTAATATTATGTTCAACGACAGGGAGAAAAAGGTCTCTTCCAAAATGATAGAGTGGTTTAGGAAGTTGCAAAGGATACAGAGTGAATTTATTCAGATATATAATCTGTTTTTACATGCAACATATCTAATGTAAATATTCCTGGCAAGGCATTAGCAATTTTTAAAAGGTTTTATTTATTCTTCTGCTGCCTTGATCTGTTCTCAACCACACCCTAGAGGGACAATGAATCCTTCTAGAGGAAAGGACAGTTTGCAGAAAAAAACTAAAAACATAACAAAAAAAACCCAAGTATTTTACAATTCTCGTAACTTGTGCTTTTGCATTTCTAGTCTTTTCCCCATTGATTCTTTTTTTTTTTCAATTGGCATTTGATAGTGGTTTCCTGATAGCAAACTGAGTAGTGAAAACTAAATAGGTTGATTTGCCCAGAACCCTGAAACAAGATACATACTTTTATTAATGCAATTTATAGGAAATTTCTTTAATAAACATTTTTTATCCAGCTATTTCATCTGGGTATTAGATGGAATAGTCCATCTGAGTATTAGATTGTGTAGACTCTTGTGAAAACATGTGTGTTTTGAAAATTCTTCCTACTCTACTGGGAATTGCTTGTTGAACAAGAAGCCCTTTACTTCTCAGGCAGAATATTCCAGGGCAAAACCATATATTAGGTAAAGATTAGTTTCCAAGACTCTTATCCCTCTTTTATATACCTTCACCAACTTCTCCCTCTACCTCTTGCCACTTCTATAATGCCCAATTTCCACAACTAACCACAAACAGGAGGTCAGTGTTTTTCACTGTCTTTGTTCTCTTAATCCAAACTTGCTCTTCCAAATACATCTACAGATACCTTCATACTAAGGTGTGATGTTTGCCCTTTGAGGCTTATTAATACATGATAAGAAGCCTTAGGCAAATGCATGAAGTCTAACATGTAATTTCAAACACCAACTGAACAAATAGGAATATATATTTACTGAGGAGATGGGCTACAGGGGCATTTTTAGCTGCCTCCCAAATAAACTAGCTGTTAATCTGTGTTGCTGAAGCCAGGTACTGCCTCATACTTAAGTAGGTCTGATCTTTGTCCTAGTATCGTAGAGACCATGCTAACAAGCACAAATATCACGTTCACTTTCCAGGAGATGGAAGAGGAGATGGCCCGAAATGCCTTGCATAGCAATGATATTTATACAAGGGTCTTTGCTTTAGGTCTGATGGAGAACTTAGGAGTCAAGGTCAGTTGTTCTGAGAGAGGTAGAGGGACTGAGTCACCATACACTTGCTCCTTCACTCCAGCGCATGAAACAAAGTTACTCCTGCAGTCTTGGGGAGGAAGCACAGAGGGGCAGAGAGTGGCAGGAATGAATCCTCCGGAATTTATCCTCCTGCGGAGTAAAGTTCTTTCTCTCTATGACCAAGAGGAGGCAGGAATGATAACAAGCCCTTCCTGAAGGCTGCCTTTGTGCCAGGCTCCACACTGAGCCCCTCTGTGAGCTTCATGCATGTTACCCTGTGCACGTCTCACAACACCTGGGGAAGCAGTGTTTTTACCCCATGTGTTAAGATACATCTTCTCCAGCAAGGCATTTACAGGAATCACTCTGCTAGCCAACTGAATAACCAATATCTAAAACCACTTCCACCTGGTCTTAGAGTGAATGATCTTTCCACCGCACTAACACTTTAAATATCAGACTTCAACCTTCTGTCAACAAAGACGAAGGCTGTAGCTCTACCAACATATTTCAGCAACAGTTTCTCTCTTAAACTCTCCATCCTAAAAATGCTCACAGTTACAACATTCTGCCTAGTTCATTTGGTACACCTGGAGAAGAATCCATTTTCAATTTTGGTGGAAAGTCTTATTTTTTTTTTCTCCCTCATGGAGTCAAAAATGCCATCATCACGTTATTTATCATTAACTGACTGAGGCCACTCTCAATCTTCTATACATTTGCCTCAAACATGCATATCTGTGAACTGATGCCAATAGGCCAGTGACATTTTCTAAAATCTAAGGCAGAGAAAGCTTACATCCATTGCATTCTAGAGAAGGGGAACTATAAGAAATCTAATGGGGGAGCCCTTCTTTAGTTGATAAGGTAGTGAAGAGATGCCAAACACTAGGGCCTGCGTGGAGCTTTATGGAGCAGTTAACCTTGAGACTTACCTGTATGTAAAGATAAAACTGCAACTTCTAGTTAACAGATTTATTGAGCTTTACAAATACTTTGGTTTCACTCTTTGTGCTTTTATCTACTTCTGGACTTTATTACTGTTTTCTGTCCAGCTATAGTCTTTATATACACAGACTGCCAGAGATTAAACAGTGAAAAGAAGTCAAAAGATTTCCTTTGTCATCTTGCACGTCCTTAAGGTTTTAATAGACAGGCATACCTTCCACTGATTAGAAATTCACAGAAGATACCACCCCCTCCCCCACATGGATGACAAGCATTTTATGAATCACAATCCTCAGATAAGGGACAAGAAAACATCACCAGAGTGGCTCCCCAAGGTTTTGGTGAAAAATAACTTGCCCACATTTAGCAGTTCATTACGCATACACAACATCTAAGTAAATACTTCATGTGACACAGCCAGTATATTTGTGGATAAATACGTCACAGTTAAACATCATATAAAAGAGACTATTGTTTTGGATGTATGTGAATAATGACACAGCCACATCCGTGTAGAAGATGAAGCAAAAATAAAAATAAAAAAGGAAATGCCAACATTTTTTCAGGCCCCATCTGTGCTGAGTGATTCTAATATTACGGAATCCTTCACAAAAGACAGGAAATGACAATCTTAAAGTAAAAATACATGAATATTGGAAGCAGAAAGAAAACACCAATGAATGGTGTGAGGAGGGTGGCCTGTTCACACTTGCCCTAGCTATGAGGAAGTATTGCATAAAGTCATTCCTTCTTGCTCCTCTAGTGCTGACTGTCACAGGGGCAAGTTACCAATCCATGTGAATGCTATGACTTCAGAAAAAACATTTCTGACTAGAAAATTAAGTTTCTCATTTACAGTTCTACCTACTCAGCAAGAGCGATAGGCAACTTTTGTTTTTTTTACTGGAAGAAAACAATTTATTTCCTGATTGCGGTGAATTCTGTATACCAGAAGCCATTGCGAGTTTCAAAATTCTTTATCATGTTTCAAAAATCCAATCCATAATCAAATAATCAAATGAAAGCCATTTAAAATAGAGACTTATATGGGAGGTATGGTATCAATTCAGCACTTTCCTAATGTAAATTTGTCCTAAGGATTTTCTTCTGAAAGATGTAAAAGTGTTAAAGTCAAATAAATGAAATGTGTTTTGTTTCTTTAATTAGGGTAAGACTTTGTGGATTGAAATAATGAGATAGTAATCTGGTGTTAATCAGTGTGGTCACTGGCAGAGAGTTAGATCAGAAACTTTCGGATACAATACAGGACTTTCATACGTAGTCATAAAGTGTATAGACAGGGAAATTCCAGTGAAAGGTTACAATTTGATAAGCCTCCCACTGATAATTTTGACATGTGAATATATTTTAAATTATCAATTATTTTATTATGCTTATTTAAGGAAACAATATGTTTGTGTGGGTGCCTCTAAAATATAACTTAGTTTTCAAAAAATTTACTAGAACATCCGTTTTTAGAAATAAAAATACCACTAACTCTGTATTGCCTAAATAATAAAGTCCAAATTCCATAATTTAGGTTTATGTTATTTTATTTTGAGACAGGGTCTTGCTTTGTGGTCCAGGCTGGAAGGTAGTGGTGTGATCATAACTCACTGCAGCCTTGAACTCCTGGGCTCAAATGATCTTTCCACCTTAGCCTCTCAAACAGCTGGGATTATGGGCCTGCACCTCCATGTCCACCTAATTTTCTTTTTAGTTTTTGTAGAGATGGGGGTCCCAACATGTTGCCCAGACTGGTCTTGAACTCCTGGGCTCAAGCAATCCTCCTGCCTTGGCCTCCCAAAGTGCTGGGATTATAGGCATGAGCCAGCACACGTGGCCAGAATTTAGCCTTTAGATCTCTGTAATCTAATTAGAAAGTACACTTCCAACTTTATTGTTTCTATTCTCCTTATTAAATCTTATCTATTATTTGAATCATTTATGTAGCTATCAAATATTTTTTGAGTGCTTAATACATGCCAGGATCTGTGGATTCGAAGATGAACAAGGCACAATTTCTACTTTCAAACAGCTCACAATCTAGCAAAGAAGATAACTACTTAGCGTCTTACAAGGGCAATATTTGTGGTGTGTTTAAGGTCCAAGAGGAAATGCTGATCACTTCTTGGCTAGATGGATGATGGATTCAGGCAGGATTTCACAGGGAAGGTAAAGATTAATTTAGAATTCACCAGGTAGACACATAGAAAAGGGTGTTCAAGGCAGGGGAACAGTATGGGCTGAGGCATAAGAGTTTGAGACAGGAATGTGGGTTTGTTCAAATACGGATGTTTGACTATTGCTGGAAAACAGAGAACAGGGATTTGCCATCTTCCAAATGCTGTTCATCCATTCATTCCTTTTTCATGGCTTATTCTGCTGTTTCTCCAGATCAAAGTGGACAATGTTGGTTGCTTATGGGAACCTAATGTCTTTGACAGGACCTGGGACCTGATTTCTCAACCTTGGCACTACTGACACCCTGGGCAGAGGAATTCTTTGTTGTGGGAGACCGTCTTGAGCATTGCACGGTGTTTAGAAGCAGTATGGGATTCTGCTCACTTCATTATATTAGTATCTCAATTAAGAACTCTGATATTATACAACTTCAACCACCTGAGAAAGTAATCCCTATATGAAATTTCATAATTGTTTCCTTTAATCACAAGACTACTTCCAATTAAGTACAGAAATATTTGTGAATAAAAATCATAGGGTTAACATCTGTGTGTAAGGAACTTATGCAGATACTTTATACACCTGAAATAACTAAGAGAACTTAGCCTGTTAGAAGCCAATCTTGTGAATTTAATTTAAAATACGTAATTAAGCAATGATTTACGTTTTTAAAATTTTAGGTTGAAATCTTACAAAATGTACATGGAAAATTGGAACACTCAGGAGAATTTAAGAATCACCATATTTAAAATTTAATAGATTTATACAATGATTTAATTACTGGGGCTGCTTGTTGTTAATTTGTTAAAGTTCTTAAAAGAGAAAGCAAATAGATAATATTTACAAATTCAGTTTTTAATGTTGATGGGAATCTAATTGTTATGAGCCCTTATAAACAAATATTAGATTTGCTAGATTTATAAATATAATAATATTTGTAAGTTGAAGTAAAAGGTTAAGGAAGAACTAGACTTTGGATGTTTTACTTCAATAATTATATATTTATCTTTTTTTCTTGAGACAGTCTTGCTCTGTCGCCCAGGCTGGAGTGCTGAGATTACAGGCATGAGTTTCCCAAAGTGCTGGGATTACAGGCATGAGCCACCACGCCTGGCCTTTTTTTTTTTTTTCCACTTTTTAAACAGAGTCTTGCTTTATCAACCACACTGGAGTGCAGTGGCATCATCATAGCTCATCGAAGCTTCAAACCCTTGGGCTCAAGCGATCCTCCCACCTCAGTCTTCTGAGTAGCTGGGACTACAGTCACGTGCCACCACGCCCAGCTAATTTTAAAATTTGTACAGACAGGGTCTTGCTATATTCCCCAGGCTGGTCTTGAACTCTTGGCCTTAAGCAGTTCTCTTGCCTCAGCCTCCCAAAGTGCTGGGGTTACAGGCGTGAGCCACCAAGCCTGGCCTTATATTTATCTTAAAAAGAAGACAAAAAAACAAACAAAAAACAAAAAACACAACTTCCACAAAGTCTTCTTGGATGAAGGATGTAATAAAACCTTAAGGACAAAACAAAACCCACATAGAAGGACAAGGTACTTTTAATAGGAATCAAACTTGACATTACCAGTAATAGGACAAACTTGTATCATGTCTCTCCTGATGCAATCCACTAAGGAAAGCCCATCTTCTATGTCATGTTCCTGTTAAAAAATAAATGCTTAATCTGTATCTAAGCATGAGGATACAAACAAATCTAAATTGAAAAATACCTTCAAAGCAACTGGCCTGGATTATTTAAAATTGTCATTATTACGAAAGGCCACCATTGCACAAAAACTAAAAAATTAAAAGATAAACAGAGAGAATAGGAAGAAAGCGAGGGAGGCTAATGACTGTGATTCTTGTTTGGATCTAGATCCAAAAACAAAACGTCTATAAAGGACATTATTGAGACATTTTCACAACGTTGATGAGAAAAATGTCATTGTTTTTAGATGACAGATATCGAACTATTCAGGGGAGAAGTCTAAAGATGTCCACAATTTGCACATGAACAAAAATGTGTATATACAGTGCACTGTGAATCTAGCTGGTGGCTATAGGGACGTTCACTGTCCTATGTTTGAACTTTTCTGTAGGTGTTTCATTTTTCAAAAGAAAAAATAGAAAACAAAAACCCCAACTCACATTGGACCCCACTTTTCTCCCTTATGAAGCTCATGAGTCTCAGAAGTTGACCCCGATTTTCAGCACAAGGGAACTGGCCTGGTCTAAGGGTTTTCTAGCCAAGGACTGGCTAAGGAATGTGCTTATTTCTGAATTTGGATCAACAAAATTAGAAGAGAGGTTAGCTACGGGTTTTCTTCCTGTCTCCACTCCTGGGAGAGTTTTTGGGAGCAAGTCTCTCTCTTCCTTTTTCATGCTTGTACCCAAGTGTGAGACCTGATAATTCAGGAAGCTGCCAGAGGAAAATGGTTGACAAAATTCAGGGATGCAGAGTGGGAACCACTGAACCCATCAGTCCTGAAGAGACTGTGCTACTGTTGGCCTTCCAGTTATGGCAATCAATCAATTCCCTTATTGTTTAAGCCAGTTGAAGTACTTGCAGCCAAACACATAATCTAATCTGAGCCCCAAACTGAAGCTGCCTTCACACTCAAGTGTTATATCCCTCATGAAGCCGACCTTAATATCTCCATTCCAAACTGTAGTTTTTATGAGGAGCTGCTTTTGTCTGGCAAAATATTTTGGTGGGACATGTAGAGAAGAAGACAAGACTATGAGGTCAGGAAGATGGACAGTAGCCTCAGTAACCATGGACAGATGGAGATATTAGCCAGGGTTCTCCAGAGAAATTAAACCAACAGAGTATATGTTTACACTTACATACCGAGAGATTATTGGCTCCATGTGGCTGTGGAAGCTTGTCAAGTCCAAAATCGGATGGGGTAGGCTGACAGGCTGGAGACTCAGGGAAGAGTTGCAAGTTCAAGTCCAAGGGCAGTCTGCTGACAGAATTCCTTGTTGCCCAAGGGAGGTCAGTCTTTGTTCTGATAAGGCCTTCACCTGATTGGATGAGGCCCACCCACATTATGGGGGGTCATCTGCTTTATTCAAAGTTCACCTATTTAAATGTTAATCTCATTCAAAAAACACCTTTACAGAAACATCCAGAATAATGTCCAACCAAATATCTTGGCACTGTGGCCCAGTCAATATGACACATACAATTAACCATTTCAATAGAGGTTCTGCTCAATGTGAGATGGAGCACACCTGGACTTGCCTTGGGAGCAGGTGGGCAGGAGGAGAGGAGAGAGACCACCCCACCGGAGGCTTTCAAAGTTTATTTTTTACATTGCGCCCTGTCACATGCATGCTAACGGACAATGAACTGAAACAAAAGCTCTTCTTCATCTTCGCTTCCTTCCTGCTTCATTCCATTCTATTTCATCCCATCTTATACCATCTCATTCCTTTCTTTAATTTTTGAAAATGCTCACTTTCATCCACTACATGGATTTCATTGCCATGAATGGGTCACAAAACTGCAGTTTGCAAACTGAATATACAACTTACATGTGTGTTGGCACATGTGCAAATCAAAGAAGAGGCTGACAGGATGGACAACAGAGATAGCACACGTCACAACTTGAAATGATCCATAAACCAAGAGAATGAGGTGATTGTGATCAGGCAGACACCTCTGCCTCTCTTTCTCCAGTGTTGCACACACACTCAAAATTCACAGAAATCTTCCAGAGGGCATGTTATTAGGGATCTGAATATCTACATACAATGTGTATTTCAGGGGACACAGGGGCTGACTGATTACCTGTGTTACTGAGCTATTCTCTCTACCCTTAAAATTCCATCACGTTTTAGCCAGTTCTGGTGGTGCTTATCCATTTACAGTTCATACTAGAGAAATTGTGTATGTATCTATCTACGCTAATCGGATACAATAACTTACTTTAGGTGAGGGACTATGTCTTAAGTACAAAGCTTTATGCCACACATCAATTAGCATAATCTTTTTACAGAGTAATAAGTCAAACATGTGCTTTTCCTTATTTTATGCACATAAAAATTGCTATCAGTAACCATAAGAACATAGATTTACGAGTGGTTGAATAGAATATAGACTTTATGTAATTTCTTAACCATTTCCTCCATGTTTTAGATATATCAAATATAATTTGAATGCTCACTTGGATAATGCATAATATTGATACATATAATACAAAAGGGTCAATATCAGTGCTCAAATGACTGTATTCATTTATGCTGAACAAATTACAAAGAAATGGCTCCAAATCAGCCAGGAAAGGTGAAGTAGTGTACACAGGCCCTAATTCAGCAACAGAATGCATTGGCCACACTGACATAAGCTTTCAGGACCCTGGGGATGATCAATAACGTTTAACCCTCCAGGGCCACGTCTACCTCATGACCTGGCCATGGCCAAGTTTAAGAGGGCATAGCAGCCAGAGGCAGCGGCAAGGCCACCCTTGAGATGTTGGAACCAACTTGGGTCTTTGGTATAGACTGAAAGCTCTGAGGGACCAGGGTATAACAGTAGCTCATGACACAGACCTTCTGTGCTTTGCAATCCTCTTCAAGATAATGGATTACAATCTGTGCAATACAATACTTACTGCAGCTACAATAAGAGAAAAGGGGGCTATTCTGATGACTATATGCCTATTTAAACAATTCTGGGGCTCTCCTGAGTAAATGTTTTTTAGCACATATTGCTGATGTCATCATGGCCTCATAAAACTGGGTTTCTCTCTCATACACATACACACACACAAGCACACTCTTAACATGGTGAAACTATAAAAGAAAAAAGATCATGTAAAAGTTGTTCCTGTACAAGGAAAATGTAATTTATTTCAGAAATAGACAATCACTCAAGTGTATGAGCTGTGTAGGCGTTCATTGGTGAATTTAGACTAAACAGGAAGTGATGTAAATTATAGTTATTACACTGCTGGGAGAGAAATATATTAAATCCAGACAGCACACGAACAAAGCACAAGGAGCTCATTGTGTTGAAGGAAACCACGCACTTTGGTGGGAAGACAATGCACTATATAGTATGAAAACCCTCCATGGCCATTGGGACTAAAATAATTTTTTAGGGAGCATGATTTTGTTCTAGCACTGAAATATTTTTTTCTTTTCTGATAAAGCCCCAAGGCATTCTAAGCTGAAGTACATTGCTGCTCCTGTACTTTTAACTATTTCGTGTGGTTTTTTTGTAGACTTCAAATTGGGGAGAATAAGAAACAATGAAACCATTAGGTTAGAAATCATGGCTATGGCAAAACGGCTAGAGTAAAGGTAAAACATGAGATAATGAATTATCTATCACCTGTGTAATTCCAGCTATCATTGAAGTATCCAAGAATCACCCTGGTAGAGGAAATATCAACGAATAAATTACCCTGAGGGAAAAATAACATCATGTGATCTAGTCCATGAAATCTGCCTCATTGGTCTATTTGTACGACAAAGCCTCCCGGGGTGAGCTGAAAAATAAATAAAAAACAAAGCTGGAGAGCTGGTTTGGCTGCTTGTATGGCCTACAAAGAACAGTCAGAAAATCAGGCCAAAGACATAATACCTAATGTCCAATTCATTTGCTTACAAAGTCATATCCAAAATGAAGTAAATGAATGGATTCATTTTAGCCTTGCAAGTATTATTACATTTCAAAAGAGAGTAGAACAAGATAGACTTTTTATTGGCCCTTGCCTTAACTGAATATTTCTAAAATGGCACAACTAAAATCTTTACAAGAAAATGAGTAAACATGTACTTAATGATTTATGGCCTCGATTTTCAAAGAATCTTATAATCTTCTAGACAGTGATTTCTTCCGTAAGGCTGGTGTTGAGCTCACCCAGGAGGTGAAGCTCTCACCGAGAGGAAATGACTCCCACAAGATCCTTTCCTAGTGCTCAAAGCAGGGCCGGGTTGGGGAGCGTCAACACAGCGGTACGCTTAGCCTCCCAACTGATGGCAAAAGAGGAGGCTTCAGTGGGAATGGAGTGGGCCTGACGGCCCCATGGCTCCCTCTAGTTCCCCTGAATACAGCAGAACAATTTCACAGAACTCAGAGTTCATTTGGAAATGGGTTCGAGTCAGTGATAAAGCGAACCAAAATCGATTTTCATCTCTGATTTGTATGAGTTATTAAACTACAGAGTTATTAAACTACACTCTGGTTTGCTGAGTATTAAATGAAGGATAGTATTCTGTTGGGTTTATTTATATTGGTACATATATAATCAAAGGTATTTGTTGAATGTTTTATGATAGTCATTGCTATTCTCTCTTCCACCTTAATCTCTGCGCCCCCACCTCCCATCCTTTCTCCATCTCTATAATACACTCATATCCCTTTAGTGACTAAGGACACTGATCCTGGAACCAGACTGACTGGGAAAGTCACCAACACTCAGTGCCTCACCTTTTCATTGGTAATAGAACTCAGGATTTTTGCAATGAATAAAAGGGAACAAACAGAATGCTTCGAACATTGCCTTGCATCTGGGAAGTACTTAAATATTATTTTAAAATTACTATCTATCATCTATCACCATTCTATATAATTATTAGTACTATTTGATACCATTCCCTTTGTAGAATGGAGTTTTTCTAGTTCTCTGATTAAAAGACACTAGGAAAGATACTTAAAACAGATTTTCAAGTGATTATTTGAGCAATTACTTAAAGATAATCTACTCATTAATGGTCTTATTTTCAAAAGCCTTTATAACTCAGTTTTCTTAAAAATCTACAGAAATCAGCTAACTGTAGCAGGTGTTAGATGAATCATTCCATACTTAAAGGATACGTAAAGTGGGAAGAAATTATAATCCCCAAGGATTCAATTCTGGACTCTGAAAGATGCATTTTTCATATTACTTGACATCTCTGGACTACTTTTTAATTTTATATTCATTAAAATATTAAGCTAGCAATCCCTCCTTAGGTGCTGGCTGTTATGAAATAAAAACGTTGCTTTTTTAGAATAGACTCTATTTTGTTCCGTGTTTTAAATTACTATACACAAATGGTAAAACTTTTCATAACAAAGGTTTAATTAGAATGGTTAATAACTATGATTTCCAAAGTGTCTGAGTCAGTTAGGGAGTTTTGTTCCATACAAAATGCTTTATTTAACCTTCATGCCTTCATTCAGATAATTATACAAATGCATACAGTTAAAGGTTTAAACTCTATTTCAGTTCACAGCTCAATTCATAGGAAAGTTGAATACAGAAAAGCAATGCACCAACAGAATATGTCTGAGACACCATTAAAAACAATAACACTTGTTCATTTAAATCTCTGAGAATAGACTGGAATAATCATCCTCTGAGAGAATCTCATTAGGAGGGTCTCCCTTTACATTATCATAGGGCAAAAAAATCACCATTTTACAGTAAAAGGAAAAAAGCTCTGAGTATATTTACAATACATACACTATACATAAATACAAGAACAACACTTACATAATATTAATAAACTTATAACAGGGTTGCCTAAACACTACAGAGTATATAAATGCAGAGGAAACTATTGGGAAATTAGGTCTTTAGATAAACTGGAGAAATAAATTCATTTGCAATTAAAATCCTGAACAGAAAACCAAATGAAGATTTAAGAACTCAACACATTTGCTTGCCAGCATCACTGGGGGGCTTTATCCTTTAATGTGTAGGACCTCCTCTGGGCACTCTTAACTCCCTGGGGTCAGAGACCCAAGAGTGTTTTGTAAAATTACATCCATAAAGCAAATCAGATGCAGCCCATCTATTCAATTTGCTGTTCAGAGGCTTCAAGCCTAGAATAACTGTTTTGTAAACTAAAGGATGTTTCTGTATTTTCACACGGACAGATCTCGTGATCCAATCACCACGTATAATGAGCTAAACGTCAAGGAAAAGAAAAAAGATGCCTGCTTGATTTGGCCAAAGATGATATTTTTCTTTATTCCCATGTATTTTTTTTTCAAATATGACTGAGAGATTTATTCAAAAGAACATGACGTTAGAATTGACCCCCACACACCAAGAACAACGTCTAGACTACTACTAATTATAACTAAGTCATTTTAAGTGGCAGGTGGGTATCTTAAAGGTGGTCTGTTCTCATCGTTTCACAACACAAAGTTCTGAGTACATTCTTCTATGGACAAACATGAATTTGCTGGTTTCTCTTTTTTTAAATGAGCATGTTATGATACACATAATTGCATTATGATGCAGGATGACATAATACATAAGACGATGTTTTCAAGCTGGTTTTATAAGTACTTATCTCACATCCACAGAGAGTTGGTTTGCCATGTGATGCAATGTGTCCCACATAGACATGAACAAAACAATACAGTCACTACCCCACAGGGGGACAGTGATTTTTCAAAATGAAGCTTTAAACACAACAAATCGTGGACAGACACGTTGATAGGAAAGAGCCTTGAATATAGGCACCAGTGCCCCAGTTCAACAATATCCATCCAATGTAATAAAGTTTGAGGAACAAAATATACACTATATTCTGGATGTAATTACAAAATTCTGCCATGGGAAAACTAGAACACAAGTAGGGCAAAAGCACTTTTTATGATTTTTTTTTTTGCCATATCTTTGGAGCATGAAATTAGCAGAAAGGGAAGATGTTGGTATGTCCCTAAAATATCTTACTTTTTGATTGCTTGGACACTTTTATCACTAGATTTGGATCCAAATTCTATCCTCCTATTAACCCTTACTTCTCAACAAAAATGAATCTCTGTGAAAGTCTTGATGAACCTGCTTTGGAAGAAGATGCAATAATTCACACAAGGAGTCCATTCATTGGTTCTCGCCTTGCACAAAGGGTGGACTCTGTCTCAAACACTTCAAATTTCTAGAGATGAAATCCAGAAAGAAAAAGTACTGAGGCGACTGTTTCCACTATTGATCTCTTTTCAACTCACTTCAAGTTGTGGTTTTTGTTGTGGAGAAATTATTGCTTGTGAAACCCAATTAACTGAGAAGGGCCCCAGTCTGCAGCAGGTTGTGCACATGGAACACTTGCTTTGAGCATGGAAGAGAATTTGTTTATACAGCTTCTATCTCTTTCCCCAGCCAAGTAACAGGGAGAAAGATAATAATTCAGGAGATTCATTTTCAGAAACAGAAACACTATGAGAAATGACATTCTCTTAATGTTTTCTAAGTCCATTAGTACTTCCATGAATCAATACTGTCAGAGACCTTGTTCTACACAGAAAGTGGGAGGAATTTCATTTCTCTGATGTTGGACAGCTTCTTACATAAAATTCAATTAAACTAACAACAATACTATAAACAAATTATTTATAAGACTATTTAAAACATTCCACAACAGAGCTGTTAAGTGAGAACTCTGAAAAAGAATTATCCATTATCTCTCCTTTATCATCATCTGAACGTTTGATTGCCACCCCATTACCAACTGCAAGAGTGGGCTCTGATATTAATCACTAGTTCCATGGGGGTGAAAATTTCAAATGCATCTGAAGCAGATTCTAGAATGTCTATATTGGTGGAAAGGTATACAAAGAGTTGAGGAACTGAGAAAGTGTACTCAGGCTAAAATGCTACTAAGTATTTGGATGATTTTGGAGCTCCAGGCCAGACATTTATGAGAAAAGTGACAAGTTCGGGGAGACAACTGGTTGCTATTGTTTGTTTATAATGATCCTTCATGCATGATTTTCCGGGAAAGGCCTGATTTCAAATATTCAGTACCATTGTTAAGTCATGTGTTATATCATGTCCCGATATTTCACTTGAAAAATATGATGACTACTCATGCATGTTGTCCATAATAAAATTACTGAGAGTCAGGAATCTGGGAAGGTGGTTTCGGGACACCCACGTGCAGTGTGGTGGAGTGGGAAAGATACAGGCAGACCTCCAGGTCAGAGATAGGCGGTTTCACTTTCCTACTCTGCCGTTTACTATTTCTACATCCATGAACAACTCAGCCACACTTCCCATGTCTCCGTTTCCCATCCATAAAGTGTAGAAATGTTGTACAGGTTGCAGGTAACGTATCTAAAAATTGCCTAGTCTATTGCTTGGCACACAGTGTTTAATAAAGAATAGCTATTATCTTCATGGTTTGCTGAATGTGTAACCTTTCAAGGTACTTTAGTTTTTTCAGACAACACATGGTAAGAAGCCCAGTCAGAAGACTTGACTTCAGTGAGATTAAGGAACCCAGCAGCTTTCCTTTGACACTTAATTGGTTATTTTACCCCCTTATCCTGGTACATTTCCGTCTCCCTTTTCTTCTTTCTAACATTGGGAGGAGAAAACAGTGGATGTTTTTTTGAGGCCTGTGGTCTGAGTCCATCATGGAAGTCTAAAGCCTGAATGTTTAATCACAGTCCTACTTTTAAAATTGCCCTTACCCGATGTGTGACTCTCCATGAGTATAATTTTACTGATAGCCTCAGTAGCTTGTTTGGGTGAATTTGTGCTCTGAGATGGCAGGGTTGGAGAATTTCCAGGGTTCATGTCTATTCATATAGTCTCATTGTATATTTCTATCCATGACTCCACTTTTAGCAGTACAGTAATTACAGGAAAAAACCTGTGAGCTTCTGAATGTGCATCTGGTAATTTTTAGGACTAACTGCAAAGATGGTTAAAGGCTAGGCTTACTAAGTGTCAGTGGTACTTCAACAGACTTTTTGGGGAGAAATGATTCTGTCAATATTCATTCCAAAATGATTCTTAAGATGATAATAGGAAATATTAGGGGAAAGGGGAATGAAGAAATGTAAAGATGAATTTGTGCGTTTGATATGAGTGGATAAAATGAACAAGCAAACAAATATCCTTCAGTCTTTTGCGCCAAATAAATTGGTGTTTTTAACTGAGCAAAACTTTTTGAATCATACATACTGTTTCATAAGTTTGGGGCAAATGACAGTCAACTTTTTATCTGGAAATTATAATTACCATATGCAATAGTGTTCACTGAAGATAAACTTAATGTTCAGATTTGTGTTCTTAACGTTCTGCAAGTTAGAAAGATCAAATTAAGAAATGTTAATGTAAACAAGATTAGGTATATTTGAAAGCTATAAAAGCGTTTTTTGTGGGCATGTGAACAGATTTGATTTACTATGTGTATGTATTTACTCTCTCTGTGTGTATGTGTGTGTGTGTTCACATGTGCAGGAAAAAACCCAGTCTTATTAAGAATTATTGCTGTGTAAAAGTATAGGAATATCTCATTGGTCATAAGGTTTACTGACAGGCACTTTCAGCATTTAATTTATTTCTGAAAATGGGCATTAGCTTATTCCTATTGCGAGTATAGATTCCTTTAACACGTGGCCATATCCACAGCACTTAATCTTGTCAACATGTAGTTATACCTAAAAGCAGTCTCCCTGGAATAAAACAAGAATAAACACCTGTATGGTTGTTCACACTCTGTTGAGGAGGGAGATAACTGAGAAAAGAGAACAATTGTAAGATGCTCCTCTTTAGTACAAGCAAAATCCTGTGCAGCTGTTTTGCCCTTTTCAGGAAAAGACATTACTAGTTTGGAATCAGTTGTCTGCAACTTAAAATGACTTCATTATATTTTAAACCATCCTGGCTAAACCATGACAAGTGGCCACTCTATTTTGAACAGAACACGAAGAGCATGCTCTGACAAAGTTGGACAGAGTTCCCATGGCAATTTCACTCATTGTGTGTAAGATATACAAGGCATATCTGAACAAGTTTTTTCTTTTTATTGTGATGAAAACTAGAAGCTCTCTTTCCCAACATACTTCATCAAACTATTTACAACCTCTGTAAAATTTGTGAGTTTGAAAATACTTTTTCCACTATCACATATGTTACGAATACAGTAAAATATCTTCACTCTATTTTTTAAAGATGCAGTATCCTTCTATTTCATTTTCTTATGAAAATCTGGATTTCTATTGCAATTGCTCAGTAATTAGCATATTTAAAGTATCAGTGGACATGGGTTACTAAACAGACATTATAATGAAACTGTGAAAATATAGCAATTTTTATGTACATTTCTTAACTATAAAATGCAGGCAGAGTCATATATAGTATTATAAGCCGGTTTCCTAATAAGGTAAGTAACTCACATTTCTAGACAGCACGGATTATTACAAATTCTTTTTAAAAAAGTTCTTTGCTGATATTTGTTAGCCCACTGGCTGCTGCATATACAGTTGTGTACACACATGTGCATGTGTTGGGGCTGTCTGTACAGGTTAAGTGGAAGGCAGTGTGGGGATGAGTAGAAATGTCATATGGAAGACATGACTTACCAAACCCCTTTCTAAACTAAAGCCAAATCTAATTGAAGAGACTTTTTTAATGGGATGCACTACCTCAGAAAAACTAAAGGAAGAGATTTGGTCAATGATGTTTTATACTAGAATACATTTACCTGCTAAGTTTACAGGCAACATTGAAGAGCAAAATCTGAGACTGGATTATGAACTATGAATATTAAGGCTTTCTGGGCCTATTATGATTCATAAGAGTTACCTCACATTCAGTCCCTTATACGCAGACTGTAACATGGATGCTGGTATTCTTAACACTGCTTAATTTCTGTCAATCCTCACTATAAATGTTAAGACATCTTTAGAACAACATCATGGCTACATTTCTAAGCAGTCATAACAACATAACAAAGGCGTATTAATACATTTTGAAGGCCTCACCTCACCAGATTTATTCAGTTGCAGCTTTGGTAAGTATAATAAATCAAGTACAGAATAAGGAATACTGCATCTTTATCCATATAAATGTTATCATTCTAATGAACTGATTCCAAAGTGCAGAATTATGTTTAAAACACAGATGGCAATTTAAAGTTAAAAAGAATTGTATAAAAATGAACACAATCTTTGCATAAGCTATTCCAAATCTGAACCATAATGAAAACGGCCTTTCTAATCACCTGGAACTGGCATTTGTAAACACTGTAGCATTTTGTAAGTTTTTCCCCTGACAATCATCTTCCTTTTTCCCACTTAAGCTTTCAAGTGAATGAAAAGTGCTCATTTTTTTAAAAAATGTGGTTTATGTTGCTGTTACTCAACTGCTTTTGAAAACAAATGTCCTATAGTGTTTTATAGAAACGACGCCAGGCAGAAGTATAATCTTTATGGTGAAGTCATTAGAAATCTCAGTCTAACTGCCTTAATAGAACTTAAGACAAGTTATCAAGCAGGCTTCTCAGAGTCCACACACAATTGACAGAATGAGGGCAGAGGTGGATGCAGAAGCGTGAATCTTTTTTCAAACAACTTAAGATCAGACCATGAAAAGGGATTCTTAAAACCTCAAAGGCTGAAAGTCATAACTTTTCAAATAATGTAACTCCCTTGAAATCAATCTCTATACTGCAAACAGAAAATCAGGTCTACTGCAGCTGCTTAAGTAGTTAATGGCTCTATGTGTATAAGTTCCCAACCATGCACATATCCCCAGCTGCAAACTGAACAGCTTCAAATTTAAAATCAAAGAATGCTTCTAGTTACGGAACAACTGTTATGTCCTTTAGGATTCTACTGCTTTTCTGTTGCTCATGATGCACTGTGCTTTTTGAAAGAGGCTAGAAATGGACATGAGATGAAATGGAGGCTCTTCCATGACTGAAGACATTCCATTTCTTTCTGTCCCAAACCACTTTCTCCTTTCCATGGGGAAATACTTTTAGAAAACTCACCAAGGAGAATTTGCCACGTCTCAAGACAAGCCCCAAAGAAGTTTCAGTTCCTGAGGCTAGACCAGGGACTCAATTCACTTAATTGTGCTTAGATCCCTTCTTAGAAGTACTGATACGTCAAAAGGGGAAAATGATGGAATGCTGACAGGTTTTATCAGTTAACTTACCATCTCAGTCTGGTTTCCACTTTCAGAGGATGAGGGAAAATGTTCCCTTCCCCAAATCCATCCTATGTTATTAGAAAAGTGCAACTCATCTAGTTCTGTGCTAAATTTAAACCAAGCTGTCACTCAGGAAGATTCCCCTGCCTGTCAGTTTTATGAATTCTAAAAACCAAGTCTACCTGTAATACTCTCAAGACATCTTTCAGCAGAGAAAAGAACTGGCTCTTTTTATGAGAGCAAGCAGGACTAAATACAAATCTACACTTCACTTGAGAGATGCACCCACTACTTGCCAACTAGGTGCTGGTACTAGTGCCAGGGGGTTCATGGCTGTGTTTGTCCCTCTCTGTGTTCTCTGTCACTGACTAGTAACCAGCACTGGCATGCATCAACAGACCTTTTTCTATTCTGAATGGTCACAGGCAATGTGAAGTAGGAGTTGCATATAGTACAAAAAAACTTTCCAGGTGCTAAAAAAAACCCACTGGTTGATGAGTAGTAGACTGTGCAGCTAAAGATGCTATTTATCACTAGAACTGCAGCCCTTGTTGGAGGGAAATTGCTTGATGAATTTTTGAGACCTGGCAGACAATATAGAGCACATATTTGTGAAGCCATAATTTGACCTGAAAATCATTACACTGTTGCTTAATGTTTTAAAAAATTCCTTTTGAATACCATCCAACACAAATTGTCCTTGTTTCAACGTTCATAGTTCTCGCTTCATCAGAATAAGATTATCTGAATTAGAAGATGATCCTAAAAAGGGTAATTCTGTAACCGGAAATTATTTCAGAATGTCCAGACATTTAAAAATGAGCTAGTAATATTGTGAGGTTAATATGTGCAATTCCCAAAATCAAGTGTTTGTAATTAAAATATATTGCAAAGGTCTTTGTTGGAGACCTTTTATATCTAAGCTATAAAAAATTCTAGCAACAACAACAATAACAACAAAAAATCTCACCAGCCCCTCAGCCACAGAAAGCTGGAAAAAAACCCAGCTTGTGGTGGGGACAAAAATATGGTAATTTTTCTGAAAGAATGCTCGTTGGTGATGTATTGCTTGTTTACTGTATATGTTCCTAGTTGCAAAAAGGTTCATAATTTTATGGGGCTGATGGAACTAACACCTTCCTCTCATCCTCTGCACAGGATGAGTGGGTTCAATATCCCTGCAGATGCCAATGCAGGACACCTGGGTCCTGATACAGTTTAGAAAATGAAATCGGTATAGAAGAACCTATTGGAGAGTCACTTATCCTTGGCTCTCCAAGAGAGGAAACTAGCACCATGTCGGGCTTTCTATGGGAAGCATTCTCTTTCCACTGATTCAGTTCCAAGGAGAACTGACCCATTAACCGAAGAGTTAATTCCCGGCTATGCCTCCCTTGCCTTTCTAGTCACCAAATAACTGTTTTCAAACAAGAAAAGGGGAGCATAATCTTTAATTGTGGTACTCAACCAAGCAGGACAACAAACAGCAGAAAGATTACCTCAGTGCTGTAAATGGAACCAAGACACCTAAAATGCTGGGGTGTTTTTTACAATCCCTTTAGTAAGTATGAAAATTGGTAACGTGAGTCCTCAGTGAAGTTATTGTAGGAAAGTCCTTTTATTCATTATTGCTTTTCTCCTCAAGAGGCGCATTATTTCCATCTCTGCTTTGTCTGAGTTTTCATGTTCACTGACTTTGCCTGGGCAGCCCCACCTCTTACCTTGGTGCCAGTGTGTCTAAGAAAGTTTTTTTCCCCTGGTTCCTTGTAATCAAATACTAGGGGCAGGAAGAGATGATGCCTAGGTGACAGAACACTGCAATTTGAAGTGGGGCAGTAGTTTTTTAGACAGGCTCTTCCTATTCAACTACAGAACACCTCTGTGCCAGTCCATGCCAGGGCAGAGACCAGGACGAGACTTCAACTGCCCCTCTGCTCGAACAGATGAACAAAACAGAATCGAAACAAAACAAAAACAATCAACGACAAACAAATGAAAGATTCAATGTTGGTTTTCTTCAGGGCATGGCAGAATGACAAGTTGAGAGTGATATCTAGTGGCTGCCATCGCGATTGCAAAGGGCTGCCTGAGTGCCCTTTCTTTGCAGGTAATGGGACCTCTCCATCTGCTTCTTCGTTTCTACTTTCATGCTGCTTGCTGGTAACAGATTGGATGTGTGTTCTAGCTTACTCAGATTGTAACTAAAATTTCTGTAAAAAGGGGTTAAGGGATGGGATGATGGGAGATTCATCCAAATTTAAAAGGTCTTGCTCTAGCCATCAATTTGTGGTAGGTGACCTTTAAGGTATCAATAACAAAATGTCTGACAGCTCAGAAAATGTACAAGCTACAAACATCTTTAAATGGCAGAGGACACAGCACGGAAAACAATGCCTGTCTCTTCAGCATTTATGTCACTGAGCTCCCAGGCCCGGGTAAAGACGGTTCTCGTCTAGTCATGATGGGGGTTACCTTCAGACCAAAAGAAGTGTGCCTTCTTTTTCCTGCTCTGGTTTCAGACATCGTGGGATGGTGATGCCCTTTTGTGTTAACACTGTGAAGGGGATTCAGCCCTGCTGAATTGGGTGCCGCTAAGAGATCCAGCTCTTACGCTCAGCTGGACAGGTAGCATTCCTCACACCAACATATGCCTCCGGCGGTGCAGGGCCAAATGATCTGACCGGGAAAAGCTGCGATCACAGTCCGCGCACTTGAATGGCTTCACTCCCGTATGTTTGCGGTAATGCCTCGTCAGTTCATCTGAACGAGCGAACTTCCAGGTGCAGCCTTCCCAGGTACACTTGTAAGGTTTCTCTCCTGGAAGAAACAAAGGAACACAAGCTTTGGTGCTCCATCCATCACTTTGCCATAACCAGGCCAGTACTCTATTTTGGGAAACTGGTGTTCTCAATGAATTTTCCCGTTGGTAAATCTTTGTCGGGAAACCTTACCATCCCACCAGCGGTCTGGGTCAGACAGGTGATGGTTTCAATCTCGTCTTGCCTGCTGTGACATCTGGCAAGCTAGTTAACACTGGTGTCCTCCATTATGACTTTGCCATCAACATATAAAGGCATGGATTGACTGCCACTGGATATATCACCACTAGTAGACTAAAAAGAAATTACTAAAGCTTTACCCAGTTTGATTTGATTTTAAGGCTGAAAGTCACAAAGAATTCTTACGGTCAAGCAGTTATGCCTTGTTTCAACACCCCCCCACGCTTCCCCCTACCAACTGTGCATCACTTAGATGGCTTAAGGCTATTTTAAAACACAATGTCCAAGAATATACACAAAATTTTACTGAACGATAATGTACTCTACTACCTCCAGATATCAGGTATTAAGTACATATTGTTCATAGATATCTATTTTTTGCTTGTTCTTTGGGGGAAAATCCTAGATGCCTTAATAGTGTAAAGTTTAAGTACATTTTTCAGGACTTAAGAATCAGGGTAAGCCCTGAGAAATCATCACGTTGGTCCTAGAGCTAAAATTCACAGAGAAAAGCTGTCTGAAGAAGCATGTAATTTGACCGGGTCTCTCAGTCAACTTGTAAGGACAGTAAAATATGCAAAGGCTGTGCTGGGAAAAGATACACTAGCCATTGTCCAAATGAGCTCCCAGGGGGAGTGGGACAATAGTTGACCCAGGTGTGCCATTTTCCTGGATCTCATTCAGAATGGGAGGCTTGTCCCCATGCAACCCCACAAAAACTGATCTCTCTTCTGCCCCTTACACCCAACAATCTACAATGTGCTCCTTGGCCACATATGGCCTCTGGTGAAAAGAGCCTAAGATAGGGAAGGGAGCTATCTGCTGTTCCTCATGCACAAAGCTACAAAGGGGGTATTGTTGACACCACTTCACAGATGAGAAAACTGAGGCTTCAGGTAGTAACATTACTCAAAGCCAGTAAAAAGATGTGCATGGCTCTCAATCCAGTGCTTTTCACTATTTTACAGTGGAATGGATTAATTCTTACCCCATCTAAATTTTGTCACAACTTCAGACAGAGTTAGTGTCACTTTCTTAGGTATGACCAAATTATTCACTTCCTATTTCTATGACATCACCTATCACAATATACCATGAAGATTTCGTTTAGACGCCCTTCTGTACCAGTTTCCGAATACTTGGAGATCTGGGACTATTCTGCCTCTACTATTTCAGTGTCACTGGAGCCTAGAATAGCTGCCAAGCAAGTACTTGAATGTATTAATACAACTGCAACACACACACACACACACACACACAAATACACACACATAGGAACATATATGGTAAACTACAGGACCCTATAAATGAGATGTGCAGGTAATGCCTACATGGGAAAACTAGTCCAAACTGGACCCAACATTTTTCATTCAACTGTTAAATCAATGCTGTCTGTGTGGATTCTTACAGGATCAAGCAGCCCTTTCAGAAGAGAGTGAATAGTTCAGGCCTGTTAAATCTAGAAATACTGATGGACTAATTGTGGCCCCAGGTTGCTCTAGGTTTTTCTGAAAGGGCTCCTTTTAAGAAAAAGCCTACTGCCTGGATTGACACCAAACCTCAACTTCTGATTCACTGTGGTTGTCCCATGGAGACAAAACTGCATTTGCATGTGTCTACTGACCAAAGTTTGACAGAAATGAAACAAAAATCAGCAAAACCCCTAACTTAGAAAGATTGGAGGTCTACTATATAGTATTATCTACATGCTTTTACGTGTTACATGTCATCTCTACATGTTTTTGAAATTTATACTATGAGCATAGTTGAGCTTGATAAAATTCATCTTTTCAAAAATACATCCATCTTTGGTACATTGAGCTGAGCTAGTTGGATGTTGGTCACCGAGAGCCATTTCTTAGCTATTTCCTGTGTTGCTATGGAACCAGCTAGAGAGAGTGTAAGGCCTAAAAAGAAAACAATAAAATTTCATCTTCACTGGAGATGAGCGTTGCTCAGTTGTGTAGTATAGAAGGACGTGTCTTGGTGAGGGAGTAAACATGAGATTAGATAAACTGGCTGGGTGTGGTTGCTTACGGCAGTAATCCCAGCACTTTGGGAGGCCGAGGTGGGAGAATCACTTCAGGCCAGGAGTTCAAGATCAGCCTGGGCAACAAAGTGACATTCTGTCTCTCCAGAAAATTTTTTTTTTAGTTAGCCAGGTGCAGTGGCATGCACCTGTAGTTCCAGCTACTGGGGAGGCTGAGGCAGAAGAATTGCTTGAGTCCAGGAGTTTAAGGCCGCAGTGAGCTATGATTGTGTTACTGCACTCCAGCCTGGGTGGCAGAGTATGACCCCGAAAGAAAGAAAGAAAAGAGAGAAAAGAGAGAGGAAAGGGGGAGGGGAAAGGGAAGGAGGAGGGGAGGGGGAAAGAAAAGAAAAGATAAGCTGCTGGATCCTGCCCTTTACATTCCAGATAGTGAAGGAAGGGGTTCCATAACAGGAGTGCACCTGGGGAGGAGAGGTAGACAAGAACTTCCAGGCTCATCTTAACAAGGATGTGAGAGGCTGGTAGCAAGGTAGAGATGATTTATACCTCAGGTGCTGTCTAGCTTTTTTTGTACTTCCAATTGAGTCACTTAAAATTCTCTAATTTCTTCCTTAAAATGATACCAGTCATACTTTCATTTTTATGTTGGCTATTTAATAATGGTAGTTATGTCCTTTCCACTTGAAAATCTGGAGCAGGGGGTAGTAAACTGCAGTCCCCACTTTTACAATTTTAAAGGTTGAAAAAACAAGAGGAATATTTTATGCATAAACATTATATACGATTTAAATTTTAGTGTCCATAAATAAGTTTTTATTGGAGCACAGCCACATTTATTTATTTACACATCATTCCGGCTGTTTTCCAGAGATGGAAGAGTTGAATAGCTGCAACATATAATGTATGGCCTTCAATGCCTAAGACCTTTACTATCTAGTCTTCTATGGAAGGGGTTTGCCAACCCCTGATTTTTATAAGAGATGGCCATCTCTGCTTTTTGTAAGCTTCGTGAATATGTTAGCTTATTGAATTGGGATTATATATTACACATTGGGTGTTGGAAATGGGTGGGTGAGGGAATGTTTTAGTTACAGTTCAATCACTTAATCTCAAATTAGGATCCTCGATTCAAATTCTAACAGTCCTCTCAGTGATAAACACACATGATATTTCAAATACTTCAAATTGATTTCTGGGCAACAGGAAATGAGTCACTCTCTTAGAAGACTCACCCACTGAGGACAGTGGCTCAGGCTTATAATCCCAGCTACTTGGGAAGCTGAGGCAGGAAGATCCCACTTGAGGCCAGGAGTTCGAGATCATCCTGGGCAATACAGTGAGCCCCCCCACCCCCCCACTGCAATCTCTAAAAAAAAATAAAAATAAAAAAACGTAGCCAGGTGCAGTGGCTCACATCTGCAGCCCCAGCGATTCGGGAAGCTGAGGTGAAAGGATTGCTTGAGACCAAGACTTCTGGTCTACAGATGTGCTATGATCATGCAGCTGCATTCCAGCCTGTGTGACCAGGCAAGACCCCGCCTCCAAAATATAAAAATAAATAATTTTTAAAAATGAAAATTAAAAAAAATTGAAAAAGGCTCACCCAACTCAATCAGACCTAAAAATATCCTCAGAATCTTCTGCTCATTAAAAAAGTACAATAACCTCACCTATGAGGGTGAAGGTCACATGGTATGAAGATCAGGAGTGCCTCTCCATACTTCACCTGGTAACCAAAAGTAAGGATTCTACATTACGATGGTGCCCCACCTCACCTCCAGCTCCTTTAAATACTGTTGTATTAAAATAGCCACTGTGAACACTGATGAGTTACCTTCCTATTGAGTCTGGGAAGTGGGGTTACAACATGAGAAGGATCAGAAAGTAGAAGCTGAGATGTTTGGAACTGTTTCTAAGATGGCTATTTTAAAGGCAGAAGCAGCAGGGAAAACAGCACCTGGTAGAGCAAGGGTTTGTCTGAGCCCATAAATGTAGAGTGGGGAAACAGTGCAAGTGAAGTGTGATCAAGTGTAATAAACAATCGTGAAAAACAAGGGAAGAGGCCTCAGAAATACAAGAGGCAGATACTTCCCTACTCCACGAATAAAATCAATAAAAATGATATATAAATTATAAGCTAGGCCAGATGCGGTGGTTCATGGCAGTAATCCCAGCACTTAGGGAGGCTGAGGTGAGAGGATCAATCACTTGAGGCCAGGAGTTCAAGACCAGCTTGGGCAATATAGCAAAACCTTATGTCTATCAAATAAATAAATCAGCTGGTGTGGTGACGTGCATCTGTAGTCCCAGCTACTTGGGAGGCTGAGGCATGAGAATCACTTGAACCCAGGAGGTGGAGGTTGCAGTGAGCTGAGATGGTGCTACCGCACTCTAGCCTGGGTGACAGAGCAAGACTCTGTCTCAAAAAATAAATAAATAAATTAATTAATTAATTAAAAAGAAAAAATAATAATAAAAAAATTTATAAGCTATTTGGGGCTAAGTAACTAATGAAGGCATGTAATAAGGAATGAAAACCTTTCCTATGTGGGGGAGGGGGAAGAAAGTATATCAGAAAACAGTAATTTAATTATCTAAGTGATAAAATGAATTTTCCTTGAAATTTTCCTTATAAAAACATACACTTTTACGATCCCCCCAAAAATCCTATGCATAATATTCTTCGCTCCCATTGCCCCATTAATAAAATTAGAATTTAAGCATTCTCTCACCATGCTTAAAAAAAAAAGAAAACAATATCTTCAATTCTCTCCTCAAAATTAGAGGCTGAGTTATGGGGGTAGGGGAAGAGAAGATGGCTACTGTGTCCAGCCAGAGAGCTCAAGAGAGACCTGTTTTCATTATATACGCCCAGTGCCTAGTATTTCATTAAAAAAAACAAAACAAAACAGGAAAGAAAGTCTATAAGTGCTCTCTTTAGACTAGTGAAATTTTAGAAATGGATACCAAAAATTTGAGTAGCTACTGCATTGTGTTTTAACAGGACACTGTATCTTATGTTTGTGCTTTGAAGCAATTTAAAGCACACAATCTTATAAACACATTAAGACAGCAGAAACTAACTTCATGATGAGAGTAAAAAAACTAATTAGAAAGATAATTAAGTTTGTAAGATATCCAGTAGTATGTGTAAATGAGCCCTGAAAGGCTATCATAAAGAACAGAATTGTCTTTTTTGTCTTCTTTCCTTTAAAAACTTGCTAGAAAATAGAAAGCTAAATATAATTTTTAAGAAGTCAGCAGCAGGGACAGAATGGTGAATTTTCCATGAAAATGTTCCTATGAAAAGAGTTGGCTGGGACAATAAATGGAGTCAGACCCCTCCCAGGGCCTGGGCTGCTGCTGCACCTGGGCGACTCTGCATCAGGTTGAGCAGTGGTGATCAGAAACTTGATTTCTATTAATTTCTTTAGAAATAATGCATTTCCCCTAAACTCATTTGAATTAGAATTCTTCAAATTACTTGAATTCTGTAACACACATAAGAGGAATGTGCAAATGTGTTATTCAAAACTATTTTCTCTGGAAATAAGCTAAAAATAAAGACAGCCTACCTACCTTCTTTGCTTCTTTTGTCTAACTCACAAGTACACAGTCAACCTCTTTTGACAATAGTCTTTAAAAATGTGTTTTATGTTTTTCTGAATAATCTAAAGTTTTGACTTTACTTTGATTTGATAATCTTTGATTTTGGTTTCTTATATTAAATCTATGAAAGAGCAAACTTACAGAAAAAGGTATTGTGCATTTCTTTGCCAATAAATCTTAATAAGTTTTTTTTGTTTTTAAGTTGAGACATTACATTTTTGATGTAAAGAGAAAAATCAAAGGACACTAGTTGGGTAACGGGTGGCTAGCTGGGTGATACCATGCCAGTGCTTGGTGTATAGCTTATTAACTTCTAGGTCTTCAATTCTGAAGGGATGGTCTCTATGTCCCATGATAAATCCTTAGGCCACTTCCAGGTTTTGTATTTAAAAAAAAAGAATATGACCATTTTCACCACAACCTGTGCTTCTCCAGTTCTGTGAAAAACCTGGACTAAACTAGGAAAACTTCTGAAAAAGAAACGTGTTAACCAACACTAATAAGAAGAGCATCTGTTTTTTAAAGTGAAATAGTCCTCTAAATGTTAAAAAAGACGACATACCACACACACACACAAAAAAAGGGTGGGGGAGGTGTGGTTGTTATTGTTCATCCTGAAAACTCTGTAACTCCATTTCGGAGTTCATGTTAAATACAACTTTCTATGTATATGCAGCATATAAAAATGTAGGTATTATTTAAATAGACTAAGTGTTCTGGGAAAACAAAAACTCACATCAGGGTTTTGTTTTGTTTTTTCTTGAAATAACCAACTGATGGATTATGAAAACGGCTGTCTCTTTCAATTTTGGTTAAAGAAAAGGATTAAGAGTCACTAAGTGCATTTCCATGACATTTACCCAGCAGAAGGCAGAATAAAGTCTAAAGAAAACACCAGGTATTGAATGGATTCCCAAAACCCACCAAACAAAAATAACTTTTTCAGGTACCTCCCATTTCGCCATCTGAAATGCTGAAAGGTACATGTGTACTGAGACAAAAGACAGGTGCCCTTTCATATTAAAATGACGTGTGAGCAACGCACATAAGAGGAATGTGCAGTTTGAAAAAGCCTGTGTTAAACAAAACATCCATGTTCTCATCAGCTTCTCTATTATTTTCTCAAGCAACTGAAAAGGAACACCTTTTGCAACAGGAAGCACAGGCATTTTCTTAGGTTCAGAAGTGCATTTCTGAAACGTGTCCCTGTTTAACTTTTATAAAGTTACGGGGCCCCAGACACTGACAAATGAGCTTCATTACATTCAAGGCTCAACGTATTTGCTGTGACAATCTGTTTCACTTGAGGAATGGTATTTGCATATGAGGAAAAAAACAAGAATCAAGATTCCTATCTTGTCTTCTGGTTTCTGTTACATTAGTTCATGAAAGTTCACAGAATCTAGATCTGGAAGGAAATTAGGTACCTTCAAGATGAGGAAACTGAAACCTAGAGGCGGGGAAAGAGCTGAGATTACAAGGCCCCTGACTTGTCTGCAGACAGACCAGGCGGCTATACCTCTTCATAGTTTACGGCAGCATACAATACCACAGGTTTTGAAATCTGAAAGAGCACACAGCCATATACAGGCTTAGTCACCTATATGAGATTGATCCAAGGCCAAAAAGTTAAGCTTTCTGAAAGCTTCCCAGTTTGAAAGTTTCCCAGTTTCCTCATCTGTAAAACAGGAATGCCATTTACTCCTGCAGCACTGTTGGGAAACTCAAAAATACACACACTACATACCTGGCAAATAATACCCACTCAATAAAGGATATTTTATATTTACAAAATTCAGGGTATTTCTGTTTTTATAAAGAAATAAAAATAATATAAAGTTAAAAATGGATCCTGTTTGCTATTTTTTCAGCAATTAATTATAGTTTTGGGGTAAGCAGATGCCAATCCTGATGCGATTTTCTTAACATTTTAAAGTATAAAGGTACTTTATAGGCCAAGCAGACCAATCTATTCCATAATGTCCATTTGGTCCTGTCAATTCAATCAAATAAGTAATCAATATGCCAGTCTCCATCCTACTGAATTGCCTGGACTGAATTAATTGGCTATCTTTTTCATTAGGTATTATGAAGACCAAGTGGGTTCCTTCTTTCCTCCTCTAAATAATACTGCATATTCTCTAATAAGTATTGTTGATAAAAATTATATTTGCTAAAGCATATAGTACTTTCCATGTACCATACTTTGCTCTAAGAGCTTTATGGATATTACCTCATTTAATTTTGATAACTTCCTAAAGAAGTCGTTGCAATAACTAACCCCACTTCACCCAGTGTCGTCACCCAGTTAGCATGTGTCTCAATTGCCACTCACCCTGCCTCTCAACATTTTAAATTAGTGCTGTCATAAACCAGGATATCTGGTCAGAACTGGGCACGGAGACTGCAAATGTGAGCTACTACTCACAGGACAGACAATAGTGTTAACAAACACAGGCTAGCCCTTCTCACCCAGAAATCCGATATAAGTGAACTAAAATATCCCATAATAAAAGTGAACTTTAGTGTAAGTAAAAAGTTCAAGGTCAAAAGACAATATTTTATTTGGCTGTTCTGAGTTTTCATTTCTACGTAGTGACCTTTCTTTTCCTATGTGACTGGTTACTTTTTCCTTGGTTTCTTTTGCAGAGACCTCTTCCTTTACCTGTTGCATAAACGTTTCCAAAGATTTTGACTTAACTTCTCGCGTGGCAGGTGTTCCTCTTGGCTCATATGTCTTCCACTACAACCTATAAGGGAAAAGACTCCTAAGCAGCTATACCTCAGTCTCTCTCCTAAGCGCCAGAGAGGGAGACAGGACATTTCCAACTGGTGGTCTGAAAGCATCTTCAATATGAGCAAAACTTGCTCAGCATTTGCCACCTAAACATGTTCCTCTTCCGGTTTTTCTGGAAAAACAGTAATTCCATCTACTCAGGTACCAAATCGTCAATGTCTCCAGTTGGAGAGATTTCTTGGACTCTTCCCTCTGTGTGACTCCCTGCCTGCCCCACTCTGATAATTACATCTGCCAGTTCTGCCTTCTAAAATCTATCCAGCAATCCTCCCAGTTTATCCCCACAGTGGTGGTCTACCTTGCTTTAGGTCCTTTCCACCTTTTACCAGGACCAGTTTCTAATGATTCTGTTTCTCCGTCTTGCCTCCTATGCACACCAATTTATTGTCCATGCTGTAGAGAAAGAAAACTTTTTGAAAGATAATCTGATCATGCCACTTGTTGGCCCCATAGTACCCTGAGACACTCTCTTCACACCACGCTGTGATTGAAGGTTTTCCTCTCTGTCCGACTCAGCAGTGCCGACTCAGCAGTGCCGTACTGTGGATGACTTTGAGCCTTCTTACCACTGTATCCCCAGGGCCTAACACATTAGTGCTGTGTGCTAATAAAGACTTGTTGATCAAAGGAGTGAAACTACTTTAATTTAAATACTTTGTTCTTTTAAAAATAGAACATAGGAGGGTCAACATAAGAGTAATCTATTTTGTGAGACAAAGAGAGTACACTGTTTACATTCTATCTATTCTATAATGTTTTCTTGTCTAATGAATTAGAATACATACTTTTGAAAATAAAAATATATTTGTGAGGTATCATTTAATACTAGTGCCACTTACAGTTCTAGTCTGCAAACAAATATTTTGTTTTAAACCTCTGAAATTAGTAACGTGTGACTGAGCCTTGTATTCTGTTGCTCAAATGAGCATTATTTTAACATTTAAAATATATCTCTTACAATTGTATTATTCTTAGTTATGGAGATTTTTAATTGAATTATCATAAGCATTATGAATCAACATTTTATTTATTTATTTATTTTGAGATGGAGTCTTGCTCTGTCGCCCAGGCTGGAGTGCAGTGGCATGGTCTCAGCTCACTGCAACCTCTGCCTCCCAGGTTCAAGCGATGCTCTTGCCTCAGACTCCTGAGTAGCTGGTACTACAGGTGTACACCACCATGCCCAGCTAATTTTTGTAATTTTAGTAGAGATGGGTTTTGCCATGTTGGCCAGGCTGTTCTAGAAGTCCTGACCTCAGATGATCCTCCCACGTCAGCCTCCCAAAGAGCTAGGATTACAGGTGTAAGCCAATGTGTCCAATCCTATTTTTATATATTCTTTAATGATGAATCTATGTTCTATCAAAATACAATTCCTTATTGTCTTTAATAATTCCATTAAAACCACAAATTTTATATTAGTAGTTAATTTTACCATTTAGGATATGACCAACACTCAAATCTAGTTATTCTTAGGCAGAATGAGAGAAAGTAGAAAGACTGAAGATATTATTATTCCATACCTTTTATATAACCCAGCTTTGATGGATGTATGGATAAAATGAAGCCAGAAGCAAAGGAAGGAGAATGATGTCACAAAGACACGATAAAGATCCCATGGCGGCCGGGTGCAGTGGCTCACGCCTGTAATCCCAGCACTTTGGGAAGCAGAGGTGGGTGGATCACAAGGTCATGAGATCGAGACCATCCTGTCCAACATGGTGAAACCCCGTCTCTATTAAAAATACAAAAATTAGCTGGGCGTGGTGGCACACACTTGTAGTCCCAGCCACTTGGGAGGCTGAGGCAGGAGAATCACTTGAACCTGGGAGGCAGAGGTTGCAGTGAGCCGAGATCGTGCCACTGTACTCCTCTAGCCTGGCGACAGAGTGAGACTCCATCTCAAAACAAACAAACAAACAAACAAACAAAACCAATGGCATCTTTAACTTTGCACTGTCATTGATAATTTATATGCTAACACAAACAGAATTATGAAACACAACTCATTTAGTTATTTATTTAAATGAGGTAATAATGGATAGGTTTAGAAGTCTTTTCTAAATATAGGAAAAAAGATCAACTTATTTTTAATTGATAGGTTTAGAAGTCTTTTCTAAATATAGGAAAAAAGATCAACTGTTTTTTAAATAAAAATAAGGTAAAACTTTTAAAACAAAATTTGTTCAACTATGTACAGAATGGTTGCCTACATTCCAATCATTGTAAATCTTAAGCATGTGTGTCTAAACAGTAACTCTCCATGATAGGTTAAAATGACTCTCTTCCCCATTGATGAAAATAAGTGCTACACCTGCAAAACATTTTGTTACCAATCCAAATTTTTTGTTTTCCTTGTTGGAGGTGGCACTGAAACATGCTTGTCTGCATAGGCAGGTGATGCTTGCTGCATCCCCCCAGTCAGGACCAATGACCCCTTCAGTGCTGCTGTAGCAACCTGCATAGAGCTCGCTCAGGGCTTTCCTATTACGTATTATTTTATATGCTGGATATGTGTGAATGAGGCTGTCTCTCCCACCAGATTTAGGACTCCTTGCTGTCTTCATTTGTACACAGCACCCATTACATTCAAAGAGCTGTGTGCCAAACAAGCACTCAAGAGCAGCCTATTTAATTTTATTTAATGATTAATGCTTTTGGTCCACATCTTCTCACTGGCTTCTAACAAAATTTTAGTAGACTATGGAGAAAGACCACTCTATGTTAATTAAAGCCTTAAAAACAGATTAAAGTCTCTTGCTCTCTCATTACTTTACCGTCCCTGAAGGGCTGATGCTGAACAGGTAGGTACTGCTGGGTAGACATGCATAGGAGCACGGTTCCAGTGAAGAGAGAAGACTCGTAGGTTATCAGCAAACTAGTCTGAGACCAGATATAAGGAAAAGCATAGGCTCGAGAGAAACCAGAGTTTCAATCCTGGCTCTACTGCTTTCCTAATACCTGCCCATGTCCACGTGCCCTAACCTTGCTCCTTTCCAGGGATTTACATGTGTGATGAGTATATGTAAAGCACTCGAAGAGGTATGTTTGTGTTCAAAGGTAAAAAAGAAAACCTGAGATTCACACAAGTAGTTTGTCTAAGTTCACTAACAAGTTAGGGGCCAAAGAGATTGAAACTTTTGTCTCTGGACTTCAAGTTTGGTGATATTTCTATTATATTTTCTAATGTCTCAGCAGTTACCAATATAGCTCATATTCATGAGCTATTTGATCAGGACTTACAAACAACTTACGGGGAGAGGATTTTTCCTTGAAAAATGTCAGTGTGCTCTTAAATGATTTATTATCTTGGCATCACTAAGCACTATGCTTTATCTAACAAGGAACCTAGATGGGGGGGTCTGAAATGGAGCTTTATGTGGAATGAGCTATTTAATTAATGAATACAGATGTGAAGTCATGAACAGCAGCACTCACTCGTCTGAAGTTAAGATCTAGCAACCACAAGCACCTGCGAACAAAAGGCCACCAGGATGCACAGCTGTCACAAAGCCCCTGATTTTCTTTGTAGGAATATCCTCAAACCACTTCAGAATCTCATCCAGTAAATGAAGATGAAGATTCAAATTAGAAGCAAGAAATACTGGAATAGCAGCAAGAAATGATGAGGCAAGTAAGAAAGTGAGAAAAGACAGAATCTGCAATCATTTAGGATCGCTATGTGTGGAGGGGCGTGTGTACATATGTGTGTGTGCATTCCAAATATGTAATCAAATATAATTAATGGAATAAACATGTAATAGTATTTGATATTAATTACAGAGACTTCATTCATCAAGAGAAAAATTATTAAATAATGTGTGGTTTCATAAAGGTAGGGAAGATCATACTCTGGAAACCATTAAATCAGAATTGCTTAATATTTTTAAGTGTCTATATGAATAAACTTCCTTAATGTACAAAATTCAGATATGAATAATTCCTAAGAAATGTGACTACCTTAAGTTTACTAATTTTTAAGGTTAGAGGTGTATGGCTTTCATATGAATTAAAATGAATATTATACAGGATTACCTACTGGGCCTCACAAATTTATCAGAGAACAGTATGTCAATTGGGGATAGAAAATATTTCCAGATTCATTTGAACAGACTATTTTTACATATTGTAATTCCTTTGCAAAAAAAATTTGATTTTATCTTTATTTTGCCTTTTAAAAAATTCATCATTAAATTGTAATATTCTGCAGAACACTGATAATGTCAGTGTCATTGTTCCATTTTAATGTCATGTCATACATACTGTTAGAGTTCTAGTTTCTCTTCAGACCCTCTTCTAGACTAGACCCAACATCTGGTTCTGGTGCACCATCTAGTGGCTGTAGGAATCACTGATGCCTGAATGTTACTTGCTTTTACTGCATTGTAGAAATTACTAGAGCATTTATTTTTTAGAAAATAGTGAGAATTCTAAAAGGCAAAACCAAATTCACAAAATTATTTTCTTCTAAAATTCAAATGCAAATCAGTTAATAAGCAATAGAACTCTTAACGTGAGGGAATCCATAGTGCATAATTGTTTTGTATAGCACATATTTAAATGACCATATTAATTTAAATGGCAATGCATACTCATTTAAGTACTAATATTTATTTGTGAATATGCATATTTATTTAAATACTCTGTAAACTGCTTCATGTACAGAGACCCACAATTTAGACAGTGGATATAAATAATTAACCTGCTGACAATAATGTGTATGTGATGGCTGAGATATATTTTTTCCTTTTTTTGACATGCCTTAAATGATTAAGCACAAGCAGGCATTAATAAACTCATTCAAAAATACTTGGTCACATCTTCGTGTTATTATCTAAACTGTACACTCATGAAAATATACTTATTTTTAATTTAGAAAGGCACTCCTCAGCATTTCTTTTTCTATTCTAAATTCTTTGCTAATATCTAGAAAATGTACCTCTTTCAAATACCTACAAATATGTTTAAGTTACTAAGTTGTAAATAAAAAGATGACTGATCAGGTACTTATATGGTACAAAAAGATGAAGCATTAAAGGCAAAATTAACTTTCTCAAAGCAAGTTTCTCACTGATACTTACTCCCCTCCCATAGCGTGCATGGCTCTCGTAAGTCAACTGGTATAATCCCAAATTCCAAATTAATTGTTGGTCACACACAAGTAACTTACTCAATATGCCTGAAGCAAAGGTAAGGCTAAGAAGATGTTTACTAAGAGCATGCAAACCAACCTGATTCCCTATAGAAATAGTTTTGATTTCATTTTGAACACTGTTACAAAATCTTATACATAATTATAAATCAGAAGTCAGGATGGGCTCATTTTGAACTAGTTACAGAAAAATCAACCAAATTTCACTTTTTTTCTTTCTAAAAATAATGTTATTTGACTGATAATAGTTCAAGGAAGCCATGACTGCACATAGTAACTATCTCTCTGCTAAGTGGATGAATGGATTTGACATATCTTGGTTTTGGGCAGGTATTTCACAAGGACATTTAGATTTAACTGTGAGGCAGAGAAATGTGAGCTGGAAACAGGAGAGCTAGGTGGATTCTGGCTACTGTTTAAAGAATTAAGACCTATCTGAATGGAGGCCTCTCGGATCATGTCTTAGGGTTTTTTCCTTGAACGCATCCCATTCAATACATTCATCAATTACCTGGCACAGATGAAGAAGCTGAAACAGACAGCAAAAATAATGAAAGCAAAGTGGGTAGGGAGAACTTTCAAGTCATTTCAATTTATTAGAATAATGGGCCCAAATCAAGAAAATGAATATAGAATAATTATTTCTTAGACTTGAAAAAGTATGTGCAACCTCAGAATAATGATTCTGTCCTGTATTTCCAGCCTGTGCCTCAACACTTTCAGTGATAGGGAACACACTACTTCCAAGCAAAGCCATCATTAAGGGACAGCTCCAACCACACATACAACATGGCATGTTTAGGTTTAAAAGAAATCTATTATAGGTACAAGGGATAGACAAGATACAGTTGTTAGCAGTTTTTGATTTAGATAACCCAATAGAGTAAACTGCTAAAAAAAACTTAACACCATTTTTGCATATACAGGCATATCTTATTTTCCTGCACTTCACTTTATTGCATTTCGAAGATATTGTCTGTGTGTGTGTGTGTGTGTGTGTGTGTGTGTGTGTGTGTGTTTACAAATTCAAGTTTTGTGGCAATCCTATGTCAGGCAAGTTTACTGGCGCCATTTTCCCAAGAGCATGTGCTCACTTTGCATCTTTGTGTGATACTTGGGTAATTGTCACAATATTTCAAACTTTTAAATTATTATTATATTTTGTATGGTGATCTGTGATCAGTGACCTTTGATGTTTCTACTGTAATTGTTTTGGGTTCGATGAACTGTACCCAAGACGGCAAACTTAATGGATAAATGTTGTGTGTGTTGTGACTGCATCACTGACCAGCTGCTACCCCATCTTACTCCCTCTTCTTGAGCCCCCCTATTCCTTGAGACACAACAATATTGAAATTAGGCCAGTTAGTAACCCTAAGTGTTCAAGTGAAAGGAAAAGTCATACATCTTTCACTTTAAATCAAAAGCTATAAATGATTATGCTTAGCGAGTCAGGCACTTCGAAAGCTGAGATGGGCTGGAAGCTAGGCCTCTTGAGCCAGTTAGCCAAGCTATGAAAGCAAAGGAAAAGTTCCAGAAGGAAATTAAAATGTTATTCCAGTTAACACACAAATGATAAGAAAGCAAAACAGCCTTATCGCTGATTTGGAGAAAGTTTGAGTGGTCTGGATAGAAGATCAAACCAGTTACAATATCCCCCAAAGCTAAAGCCTAATCCAGAGCAAGGGCCACTCTTCAGTTCTTCACGGCTGAGAGAGGTAAGAAAGCTGCAGAA